>NC_000020.11:3854213-4005728 GCF_000001405.40 Homo sapiens
GAGTCTGTGACCAGCTTGCCAACATGGTGAAACCCCATCTCTACTAAAAATACAAAAATTAGCTGGGCATGGTGGTGCGCACCTGTAATCCCAGCTACTCAGAAGGGAGGCTGAGGCAAGAGACTCAATTGAACCCAGGAGGCGGAGGTTGCAGTGAGCCGAGATTGCCCCACTGCACTCCAGCCTGGGTGACAAAGTGAGACTCGCTCTCAAAAAAAAAAAAAAGAAGAAATTAAAGATGAAAGAAAACAAACATTCCAAAAAGTTGAGAAAGAATTGCCTTTTGTCCAGCCCCACTCCCAACCCCCCAACCCTGTTGTAATGTGTGATCTGTTTTCTTCCAGTCTCGTTTCCTCTCAGTCCATCCACCCTTCATGGGGCCAGAGCCCTCTCTCCAGAATCTGAGCAGCAATGCCGTTTGCTGAAGACAAGACCTATAAGTATATCTGCCGCAATTTCAGCAATTTTTGCAATGTGGATGTTGTAGAGATTCTGCCTTACCTGCCCTGCCTCACAGCAAGAGACCAGGTGAGCAAGGGAAGTGACAGCCCGACACTGGCCTGGGGGCAGGGCTGTGGAATTCAAAGCTCAGCCCCATCCTAGTTCCTCACCCAAGCCTGGGCTGGCTCCTTCCTTCTTCCTCTTGCTGTGTCTTGCTCCTTGTCCTTGCTGCTTTTCTTTTTTTTTTTTTTTTTTGAGATTGAGTCTCGTTCTGTCGCCAGGCTGGAGTGCAGTGGCACGATCTTGGCTCATTGCAACCTCCGCCTCCTGGGTTCAAGTGATTCTCCTGCCTCAGCCTCCTGAGTAGCTGGGATTACAGGTGCGTGCCACCACGCCCAGCTAATTTTTTTGTTTTTAATAGAGACGGGGTTTCACCATGTTGGCCAGGATGGTCTTGATCTCTTGACCTTGTGATCCGCCTGCCTCGGCCTCCCAAAGTGCTGGGATTACAGGCGTGAGCCACCGCACCCTTGCTGCTTTTCTAACTTTTGGATGGAGTGTGGCTCAGGGTGGCGTTGCTGACTTCGCCGAGCTCCCCCTTGTGTTGCTTTTGTGCACTGCTCAAAAATATGGCGCTGGCTCTCTGAGATTTCCTGGCTCTGGTCCACTTGCCCACTTTTTTTGGAACCTCCTATTTCCTTCATCTCTCTTGCCCTTCCTTGTCCTGCTCAGTTTTGATTCCATTCTCCTTGTCATGGGGCCCTGTCCTGGCACGGAGCTGGGACTCAGGTTTGAGAGCTGGCAGGATCAGGGTCGCTCTAGCCCCAACAGAACTTGCTGCAGGCCCCTGGCACTCACTAGCTGGTGAAACGGGCACAACCCCTCCCCGTTGTAGCTGCTGTTCTCAGATTGGACCCCTGTGCTCCAGAGGGTACCTGTTGGCTCTTTTGGGGCCTCCTGTCCTCAGATTTCTCAGGAGCCCCATTGTTGTCTCCGCTGTCCTCCCACACAGATCGCATTAGTATGCAGGTCTGTTTGGAGTTTGCTCCTCCCTCTTGTATTTTGGGGTTTATAGGGATATCTTGTTTTATAGTAAATATTTTCTGTGGGTTTTCTTTATTTTCTTTAAAAAATTTTTTTTTGAGACGGAGTCTCGCTGTGTTGCCCAGGCTGCAGTGCAATGGCATGATCTCAGCTCACTGCAACCTCTGCCTCCTGGGTTCAAGTGATTCTCGCGCCTCAGCCTCCTGAGTAGCTGGGGTTACAGGCGCATGCCACCACACCTGGCTGATTTTGTATTTGTAGTAGAGATGGAGTTTCACCATGTTGGCCAGGCTGGTCTTTATTTTTATTTTTGAGACAGAGTCTTGCTCTGTCACTCAGGCTGGAGTGCAGTGGCACGATTTTTTTTTTTTTTTGAGACGGAGTCTCACTCTGTCGCCCAGGCTGGAGTGCAGTGGTGTGATCTCGGCTCACTGCAAGCTCTGCCTCCTGGGTTCACGCCATTCTCCTGCCTCAGCCTCTTGAGTAGATGGGACTACAGGCGCCTGCCACCATGCCCGGCTAATTTTTTGTATTTTTAATAGAGACGGGGTTTCACTGTGTTAGCCAGGATTGTCTCGATCTCCTGACCTCATGATCCACCCGCCTCGGCCTCCCAAAGTGCTGGGATTACAGGCGTGAGCCACTGCGCCCAGCATTTTTTTTTTTTTTTTTTTTGAGATGGAGTCTCGCTGTGTCTTCCAGGCTGGAGTTGCAGTGGTGCCATCTTGGGTCAACCTCTGCCTCCTGGGTTCAAGCAATTCTCCTGCTTCAGCCTCCTGAGTAGCTGGGATTACAGGTATATGCTACCACACCCGGCTAATTTTTGTGTTTTTAGTAGAGACGGACTTTCACCATGTTGGTCAGGCTGGTCTTGAACTCCTGACCTTGTGATCCTCGGCCTTCCAAAGTGCTGGGATTACGGGTGTGAGCTACCGCACCTGGCTATTTTCCTTTTTCTAAAAATCTAGCTCCTGCAGGATTCTGTGGGTTTTTGTTTCTGCTGTCTGGTTGCTTGTTTTTATGTGAGAATTCAGGTAGACATAAAAACTCTAGGGCTGGGCACGGTGGCTCACGCCTGTAATCCCAGCGCTTTGGGAGGCCAAGGCGGGTGGATCACCTGAGGTCAGGAGTTCGAGACCAGCCTGGCCAACATGGCGAAACCATGTCTCTACTAAAAATACAAAAAAATTAGCCGGGTGTGGTGGTGGGCTCCTGTAATCCCAGCTACTCGGGAGGCTGAGGCAGGAGAATCGCTTGAACTCAGGAGGCAGAGGTTGCAGTAAGCTGATATCACGGCACTGCACTCCAGCCTGGGCGACGGAGTGGGACTCCGTCTGAAAAAAAAAAAAAAAAAAGAAACAAAAAAACTCTGCAGCCACTGTCATCTGCCCACAATCTCCCCAGCATTCTCAGCTTCCTTGTTTGTTATTGTCGGCCCCCTCTCTTTCCGTCTTTTGCCCCTTTCATCATACTTTTGCTATCTACCTTTTCCTTCTCTCCTAATCCAAACCTTTCTTTTTGCCCTGGGGGCCATATTAATCCAAGGCTTTTGTATCAGATTAACTGGGTTTGGATTCCTGCCCCACTGTTTTAGGATCTTTGCTACAGTACTTTGCTTCTGCTAAGCCTCAGTTTCCTCATTAGTAAAGTGGAGATAATAATGGCATTAAATAAAGATGATACATGCAAAGCCCTTAATGGAGAGCCCAGGACATAGTTAATTGCCAGTTTCCGGCAGCTGCCTTTATTGATGTGGCTGCTAATTGCTCTTCCTCACTCCATACCTGGCCCTGTCCTGGGCTCCGATCCAGTTTCACGTGGCTGCCTTGCCCTTGTGGCTTTCTTGGCACCCCTCCCCCCGCTGTGGCTTCATTCTGGGTGGGGAAGTGGCAGGGGCCACCTGGCTTGAGCAGGACAGTGGCATTGTGTCTTCCAGGATCGACTGCGGGCCACCTGCACACTCTCAGGGAACCGGGACACCCTCTGGCATCTCTTCAATACCCTTCAGCGGCGGCCCGGCTGGGTGGAGTACTTCATTGCGGCACTGAGGGGCTGTGAGCTAGTTGATCTCGCGGACGAAGTGGCCTCTGTCTACCAGAGCTACCAGCCTCGTGAGCGTCCTGCCCTTGCCCTCCTGGACCCCCAGCCTGCTCCCTGGCCTCCGCTCTCCTTTTCTCTCTCCCTGTACTTCCTGCCTTTCTCTGTCATCCTCTTTCTTGTCACTGTGAAGCGATGAATAAACCTGGGTGTAGATCCAGGCTGAGCCACTTACCAGCTGTGTCCCTTTGGCCAAGTCCCTTAATTTCCCTGAGCCTCAGGCCTCTCTTCTGTAAAATGAAGCTCATGGCAGCATCTGCCGCGGGGAGCTGCAGTGGGTGATACTGCGGGACGATGCGTGTTGAGTATTGAGCTGGGCTGGGCACTTCCTGTATGCCCAGCACATGGAGTCTCCCCTAACTTTCACGGCTGTAGCATTCGCCTCCCACCCTTCCTCATTTCTTCTCCCCCACCTACTCATTCACCCTCCCTCTCTCCTCCTTCTCTTCCCCTCCCCTGGTTTACCCTGAGAGCCTTCGACGCCCTCTATCAGCTGCCCAGTTATTCTTTAAGTCCCTCTCAGTGTCCCTGCCACTCTGAGTGCTCGGAGGCGATTTGATGAGATTGAGTTTGATCCTGAGTGAGATCAAGACATGGGAGGAGGCTGGGCGCGGTGTTTCACACCTGTAATCCCAGCACTTTGGGAGGCCGAGGCAGGCGGATCATGAGGTCAGGAGATGGAGACCACCCTGGCTAAAACAGTGAAACCCCGTCTCTACTAAAAATACAGAAAATTAGCCGGGCATGTTGTCCCAGCTACTCAGGAGGCCGAGGCAGGAGAATCACTTGAACCAGGGAGGCAGAGGTTGCAGTGAGCTGAGATCGCGCCACTGCACTCCAGCCTGGGCGACAGAGTGGGATTCCATCTCAAAAAAAAAAAAAAAAAGACATGGGAAAAAAAATCAAGCCAGCCCTATTTATATTTCAAACTAGAGGTAACCCCCGAGACCCTGGTCACATTTATAGCTGTGGGACATCCATGTTTTTCTTTTCTTTCTCTCTCTTTTTTTTTTTTCCTTTTAGAGACAGAGTCTTGCTGCGCCACCCAGGCTGCAGTGCAGTGGTGCAATCATAGCTCACTGCAGCCTTGACCTCCTGGACTCAAGTGATCCTTCTACCTCAGCCTCCAGAGTAGCTGGGACTACAGGCATGGACAACTACACCTGGCTAATTTTTAAATTTTTTGTAGAGATGACATCTCACTATGTTGCCCAGGCTGGTCTCAAACTCCTGGGCTGAAGCGATCGGCCTCCCAGAGTGCTGGGATCATAGGTGTGAGCCACCGCGTCTGGCTCTCATGCTTGCTTTTCTCTCCTTTTTCCCTTCCTTGCTTTTCCTCCCTCCCTCCCTCCCTTCCTCTCTTCCTTCCTTTTTTTCCTTCCTTCTTTTTAAATATGTCTCTTCATGTGTGGAGATTAATAGTGATCCCTGGCTGGGCACGGTGGCTCACGCCTGTAATCCCAGCACTTTGGGAGGCCGAGGCGGGCGGATCACAAGGTCAGGAGTTCGAGACCAGCCTGGCCAATATGGTGAAACCCTGTCTGTACCAAAAATACAAAAAAATTAGCTGCGCATGGTGGTGCAAGCCTGTAATCCCAGCTACTTGGGAGGCTGAGGCAGGAGAATTGCTTGAACCGGGGAGGTGGAGGTTGCAGTGAGCCGAGATTGCGCCACTGCACTCCAGCCTGGATGACAGAGTGAGACTCCGTCTCCAAAAAAAAAAAACCCAAAAATAGTGATCCCCTGAATACAATGGCTGTGGTAGGGCCTGATGAGGGGTGGGGGCAAAGGGGAGGGGCTCAGGTGGCAGCATCAGGGCAGGGGTCAGTGAGCAATGATAGTCATGTGGAGGAGAAAGCCACTGGGTCCTAGGATGCCTGGGGACAGAGAAGAGTGACTGCTGACACGGCGTGGGTGACTAGAGACCCACGAGGCCCCCCCATACTCCCCTTCCTCCCTTGCTACCTTGTCCTCCATCTGCTCTCACCCTCCCACTCCTGCCCCCTTGCCAAGTGATGCTTGTCACTCCTTTTTTTTTTGAAATGGAGTTTCGCTCTGTCGCCCAGGCTGGAGTGCAGTGGTGCCATCTCAGCTCACTGCAAGCTCCGCCTCCCGGGTTCACGCCATTCTCCTGCCTCAGCCTCCCGAGTAGCTGGGACTACAGGCGCCTGCAACCATGCCCGGCTAACTTTTTGTATTTTTTAGTAGAGATGGGGTTTCACCGTGTTAGCCAGGATGGTCTCGATCTCCTGACCTCGTGATCCACCCGCCTCGGCCTCCCAAAGTGCTGGGATTACAGGCGTGAGCCACCAAGCCCAGCCCTGCTTGTCACTCTTGAGGAGTGGGCCCACATCAGAACAGCTTTTGGACCTATGGGTGGGGCGGGGGGTGTACCCAAGAGCACCCAAGCCTCTTTAATCATGAGGAGAACCCCCAATTCCTTTTTTTTTGAGACAGAGTCTTGCTCAGTCGCCCAGGCTGGAGTGCAGTGGCATGACTTCGGCTCACCACAACCTCTGCCTCCCGGGTTCAAGTGGTTCTCCTTCCTCAGCCTCCCTATAGTCCCTGATTCCTTCTATTTTTTTTTTTTTTTTTTGAGACGGAGTCTCGCTCTTGTTGCCCAGGCTGGAGTGCAATGGTGCAATCTCAGGTCATGGCAACCTTCACTTCCCAGGTTCAAGCAATTCTCCTGCCTCAGCCTCTCGAGTAGCTGGGATTACAGGCATGCGCCTCCACGCCTGGCTAATTTTGTTATTTTTAGTAGAGACAGGGTTTCTCCATGTTGGTCAGGCTGGTCTCGAACTCACGACCTCAGGTGATCCACCCACTTCGGCCTCCCAAAGTGCTGGGATTACAGGCGTGAGCCACCACGTCTGGCTTCTTTTTCTTTTTTTCCCCCGAGACGGAGTCTTGCTCTGTTGCCCAGGCTGGAGTGCAGTGGCGCGATCTCAGCTCACTGCAACCTCCGTCTCCCAGGTTCAAGCAATTCTTCTGCCTCAGCCTCCTGAGTAGCTGGGATTACAGGTGCTTGCCAGCACGCCTGGCTAATTTTTGTATTTTTAGTAGAGACGGGGTTTCACTATGTTGGCCAGGCTGGTCTTGAACTCCTGACCTCCTAATCCACCTGCCTTGGCCTCCCCAAATCCTGGGATTACAGGCATGAGCCATCGTGCCCAGCCCCTGATTCCTTCTTTTTTTTTCTTTCTTTTTTTTTTTAGACGGAGTCTCGCTCTGTCGCCCAGGCTGGAGTGCAGTGGCGCGATCTTGGCTTACTGCAAGCTCCGCCTCCCGGGTTCACGCCATTCTCCTGCCTCAGCCTCCTGAGTAGCTGGGACTACAGGGGCCCGCCACCATGCCCGGCTAATAATAATGTTGTATTTTTAGTAGAGATGGGGTTTCACTGTGTTAGCCAGGGTGGTCTCGATCTGACCTCGTGATCTGCCTGCCTTGGCCTCCCAAAGTGCTGAGATTACAGGCATGAGCCACTGTGCCCAGCCCTGATTCCTTCTTGATATCACTACATCTTTGTCCTCTAGGGACCTCGGACCGTCCCCCAGACCCACTGGAGCCACCGTCACTTCCTGCTGAGAGGCCAGGGCCCCCCACACCTGCTGCGGCCCACAGCATCCCCTACAACAGCTGCAGAGAGAAGGAGCCAAGTTACCCCATGCCTGTCCAGGAGACCCAGGCGCCAGAGTCCCCAGGAGAGGTCTGTCCTCATAGTCTACCTTGAGCCACCACTTTTGTGTTCCTATCTGCCCACTTCTGCCCATTGAGCCTTCCAGAAACCCTCTCCCGTCCCCTATAAATCACGCCTAATCTCTGCTCAGAACCCTAGGGCTTCCTCAGTGGGGATCTGCCCCAGACCAGCTTCCAGGCTGCTGACCAGGTCTTCACCCTGTGGCAGCCCTAATCCTCTGTCAGCAACCAGCTGGGAGACCACAGTTTTGTGTGTGTGTGTGTGTGTGTGTGTGACAGTGTCTCATTCTGTCACCCAGGCTGGAGTGCAGTGGAGTGATCTTGGCTCACTGCAACCTCTGCCTCCTGGGTTCAGGTCATTCTCCTGCCTCAGCCTCCTGAGTAGCTGGGATTACAGGCACCCACCACCACGCCCAGCTAATTTTTGTATTTTTAGTAGAGATGGGGTTTTGCCGTGTCAGCCAGGCTGGTCTCGAACTCCTGACCTCAGGTGATCTGCCCACCTTTGCCTCCCAAAGTGCTGGGATTACAGGCGTGAGCCACCGCACCTGGCAATGCTGTGTGTTTTCTGTGAGGTAGACGTAAGGACACCTGTGGACAGAGGGTCTGGGAATTACCAGAACCCAGGCAAGGGCTCCCCTGGCTCCTGTGCTCCATGGTGTGGGCTGAGGCCTATAGGAGATGCCCCAAGAGCACAAGCTGCCCTTTGTGAGCTCTTGGGAGAGGCAACTGCCTTATTCATATTTTCCCTCATTGCAGAATTCAGAGCAAGCCCTGCAGACGCTCAGCCCCAGAGCCATCCCAAGGAATCCAGATGGTGGCCCCCTGGAGTCCTCCTCTGACCTGGCAGCCCTCAGCCCTCTGACCTCCAGCGGGCATCAGGAGCAGGACACAGAACTGGGCAGTACCCACACAGCAGGTATGCATGGAATCTGGAATTATAGGGTCCTTCTGATCTCTCAAGTGAGGGTAAGAATTAGAGTTGCCCCATCTGGCTTCCTTGAACAGGAGACAAGGTGGGAATAAAGGGAGTTCAACCCAGGAAGCAAACCAGTTCCTTAGTGGGTGTATCAGTTAGCATTTGCTGTGTAACAAATAGTCCACTCCAGTTTTCCAAATTTTTTTTTTAGTAGCTTAAAATACAGCCATTTATTTAGCATATGATCCTGTGGGTCAGGCATTTGGGCTACCTACATGGGCATTTCTTCTGGTCTTGGCTGAATTTCCTCTCAAGTACTCACCGGTATATACATAAGTTCTGCCTCTGGCTGTTTGCTGAGCACCTTGGTTCTCTTCTATGTAGTCTCTCATCCTCCAGCACACAAACCCATCATGGCAGCTGGGCAGAGTTCTCAGAGAGGGCTCAAAACTGGCACAGTGTCCCCTGTGCTCCATTCTGTGGGCAAAAGCAAGTTATAAGGCCAGCCTAGATTCAAGGAGTAGGGAAATAGACTCCCTCCCTAGACGGGAGGACTGACAGGCACAGTGCAGTGGGGCTGGGTGGAGATGAGCGAGATAAGTAGGGCCATTTTTGCGCTCTGCCAAAGGGACTGTAGGGAACAGCCAGGGCCTATAGGGCAGTGGGAGAGGGACAGTGAAGGGCTGCATCAGCTGTTGGCAGGGGAACCTTTAGGCACTGTCTTACCGCAGAGATCTCCAGTTCCCAGTGAATCATGAAAACTTCTCAGTCCCCAGAGGAAGTAAGGTCTTCATCATCCAGTGGCCTGGACTCAACTCCAGATGTCAGTGCTCCCCCTCAGAAATATATAGTTGTCCATCTGGACCTCTCAGGCCAGCATGTCTCTTTCCTACTTCCCAAACTATTCCACATGACGCTGGTGCCCAGTCAGCCCTCAGTGCCCTGGGACAGCCACAAGACACATGAGCAGTTAGAGGCTGGGAGACGTCATCTTAGTACTTTTGTCATCCCCAAACTGCTCCAAGCACCTGTCTGCTTTGCAGTGTCACCTGGCCACGGGATGCCTTTCAGGAGTTGCTGTAGACCACAGAGGCAGAGGGCGCTTAGGTTTCAGTACGTTTGTAGACACAGGTCCCATGAGATTCTGTGGTATTAGATTGTGGTGGGGGAGCTGTACATCAGAATCACCCTGACTTTTGCCAGCTGTGGGGCTTGGCATGTGCATTCCGAGTTCCGTGGAGAGTCCTGCTGCAACTGCCTTTACAGACCATCACCACCTGCTATCCTCTGCTTCCCCCACCCAGGTCAGGCAGCCTCCCAGGGGTGGCTTTGTCCTTGTCCCCTCTCTTCCCAAGCCTCCGGGATGGCCAGGCCTCTCGGCTGGTGTGAGCTGTTCTGCATGAGCCATCCTGCCACCCCTTGCCCTGATCCATGGCTGCTCCCACTCATGGTGGTAGGAGAGGGACAGCAGTGGGGGAAGTGTCCAGGATTGCATGAGGCTAAGGTCAAAGTAGAAAAGGTAGACACAGGAGAGGGGAGGTTTCCCAGGTGGGAGAGGAAAAAGCGGAGAGAATAATTAATAATGGTCTTCAGGCTCCTAGGTACCATTTCACTGTGTGCCAGGACAGACCTGGGGCTACAGGTCAAGGACTGAGGGCAGCTGTTGGGCTTTCAGGCCAGGAAGCAGTGACCAAAGGGACTGTGGCATCTCCTCCAAGGGCAGGAGATTTGGAGGCCTAGACACAGTAGGGACCATGAGATCTGGGCCAGAGGGACCCTTCTCCAGGCCTCAAGGTAATGGTCTTTGGGTCTGTGTTTCCACTTGTGTTTTTCCACCGGCAGGTGCGACCTCCAGCCTCACACCATCCCGTGGGCCTGTGTCTCCATCTGTCTCCTTCCAGCCCCTGGCCCGTTCCACCCCCAGGGCAAGCCGCTTGCCTGGACCCACAGGGTCAGTTGTATCTACTGGCACCTCCTTCTCCTCCTCATCCCCTGGCTTGGCCTCTGCAGGGGCTGCAGAGGGTAAACAGGGTGCAGAGAGTGACCAGGCCGAGCCTATCATCTGCTCCAGTGGGGCAGAGGCACCTGCCAACTCTCTGCCCTCCAAAGTGCCTACCACCTTGATGCCTGTGAACACAGTGGCCCTGAAAGTGCCTGCCAACCCAGCATCTGTCAGCACAGTGCCCTCCAAGTTGCCAACTAGCTCAAAGCCCCCTGGTGCAGTGCCTTCTAATGCGCTCACCAATCCAGCACCATCCAAATTGCCCATCAACTCAACCCGTGCTGGCATGGTGCCATCCAAAGTGCCTACTAGCATGGTGCTCACCAAGGTGTCTGCCAGCACAGTCCCCACTGACGGGAGCAGCAGAAATGAGGTGAGTCCTCGCCCTTCCTGGCAGGGATCCTGGCCCCTTCCCCCGGGACAGCTTGCCCACCTGGCCCTGGCCTTGGCCCCTTCCCAGTCTGCATTCTGTGTCCAGCCTGTGCTGCTCTGTGGCCTCTCCTTGAGGGCATACAGACAGTTGAGAACCAGCCTCATGCAGGCCCCACACCATGTTCTCCAGGAGGAACAGTCATTGAGCTTCTAAGTCTGGACACCTCAGGAGGGTCAGCCACAGGGGGCACCCACTGGTCAGGTGTATAAGTTCATTTAGGGCTCGTAGTTCCTAGTGAAGCCGAGCGGTGCCGTTTTGCACATAAGGAAGCAGTGACGGGGACAGCACAGTGGCCCATCTGCCTCTTGCCTTGCTCTTCACCAGGATGCCTGGTGTGTCCCTCCATGGCCAGGCTTTACAGAACGCAGTCCCACCTGGAGCAGCCACTCGGACCCAGCAGCCCCCCATTGTTGCCTGCTCCAAGCCTCACATCTAACCCTAGCTGCGGCTGTCTGCTGGGAAGAGCCAAGTCCATAGGGCCCTTTGGGCACATGGCCAGGCCTCTGACCCTGTGGCTGCTCTCTAGTTCTCAGGCCCAGGCAGGATGTCAGTGCAGGATGGAGCCCCGCCCTACCAAAGGCTTCCAGGTGGGCATGAGCTCACAGGCAGGCCAGGGAGTAGGGAAAGGCTGCCCTGGAGGAGGCCACCATTGGTGCAGATTCTTGGTCCCCTCTACCCCCACTGCTCCAAGAAAAGGTGGCCTAGGGGCATTATAGATTGGGAATTGAGGGGTTGGAGTGTTAGTTCATGCCCTGGCCTGGGAATGGGACCGCCCTACCAGGTTCGTCTCCCTGCCAACCCCAGTCCCTTCCAGTGCTCTCCTTTCTTTCCCAGGAGACCCCAGCAGCTCCAACACCCGCCGGCGCCACTGGAGGCAGCTCAGCCTGGCTAGACAGCAGCTCTGAGAATAGGGGCCTTGGGTCGGAGCTGAGTAAGCCTGGCGTGCTGGCATCCCAGGTAGACAGCCCGTTCTCGGGCTGCTTCGAGGATCTTGCCATCAGTGCCAGCACCTCCTTGGGCATGGGGCCCTGCCATGGCCCAGAGGAGAATGAGTATAAGTCCGAGGGCACCTTTGGGATCCACGTGGCTGAGAACCCCAGCATCCAGCTCCTGGAGGGCAACCCTGGGCCACCTGCGGACCCGGATGGCGGCCCCAGGCCACAAGCCGACCGGAAGTTCCAGGAGAGGGAGGTGCCATGCCACAGGCCCTCACCTGGGGCTCTGTGGCTCCAGGTGGCTGTGACAGGGGTGCTGGTAGTCACACTCCTGGTGGTGCTGTACCGGCGGCGTCTGCACTAGTGAAGCCCTGGGCTCTTCCCACCACCCATCTGTTCCGTTCCTGCAGTACACCTGGCCCCTCTCCGAAGCCCCTTGTCCCTTTCTTGGGGATTGTGGAGGCTGGGTCAGAGGGGAGTTAAGGGACTGCAGGCCTGGCAGCAGGACATGCCTTGGCTGAACCAAGTCCTGAGAGCAGCATCTCTGTCCCCACGGTGCCTTGTGTGGGTCCCCGTCCTTGGCTTTCTGGGTCCTGGGCTGCCCCCAGTGCTCCAGACCTTCCCCACTGGCAATCCAGGTTATCATCCATGTCCTCCAGAGGAGCTTCCTCCTCCAGGCCTCAGCCCTGTTGGCCCAGGTGGAGCAGGAGGGACCACTGGAACATGTGGTGCTTGGGAATGCCTCTCCTGTTGCATTGGTCCCTGAAGGCCTCAGGGCAGGTATGTGGTGTGTGGGCGACTCCACAAGACCTGCCTCCCATCCTGGCAGCCCAGCCTGAGACCGTTGCATTGAGGCAGGCAGGAGCGGCAGGGTGGCTGCTCTCCAGGAGCCCAACTGCCTTGAGTTCCTGCCCCACTGGGCCCCCTCCCCTGCTGGGCAATCCTGGGAAGGTCTGGAGGTTCCTGTGGACCTCAGGGAAGCCAGGGGCAGCTGTCAGGCCTGAGGAAGACCTGTGGAGCTCCTCTCCAGCCTCCTCTTTCCCTCCCCTCTGGTCTCCATTCTCTTCAGCTCCCTACATGGGCTGGGGAGGAGACACCTGGTGGGCAGAGCTCAGGCAGAGGTTTGGATTTCAGCTCCCTCACTTCCGGGGCTGTGTGGCTTTGGCAGATGTCAGACTTCTGGTCTTGCTTCTCCACGTGGACAGTGAGTATCTGGCTCATTCTTCACTGGGTTCTTCTGAGATTGAACCTACAGGTGTTTGCCAAGTGCCTGGCCCAGAGCAAGTGGCCACTGCTTCTCCCATCTCTCTCCTGCCCAACCTGGTAGAGCTGAGGGCATGAGAGGCAGAGTGCACAGTGGTCAAGGGTGCAGCTCTGCAGCACAGGCAGCCTAGGCCTGCGTCCCAACCTGCCTCTCACCAGCTCTGTGACCTTGGGCAAGGGATTTATCTGTCTGTCCCTTAGTTTTCTCACCTGTAAAAGGAGGATAAGTATATATATATATTTCCCAGTGTTGTGAAGATTAAAGGAGTTTATCGATGTAGGTCTTAGGATGAGTCCTGGCATTTACCAAGGGTTGGATATATGTTATTATCACTATTAAGTGTTGAGGGTCCAGGCATGCTGGGCAACAGGGACCCCATCTCTACAAAAAAGTTTAAAAAATTAGCCAGGCGTGGTGGTGCACCTGTCGTCTTAGCTACTTGGGAGGCTGAGGTGGGAGGATCACTTGAGCCCAGAAGCTTGAAGCTGCAGTGAGCTAGGATCGTGCCACTGCACTCCAACCTGGGTGAGAGAGCGAGACCCTGTCTCAAGAAAAAGAAAAATGCAGAGAAACAGGAGTCTTGGCTACTCCTTTAGAGGCAGACTCAGACCCTCCTGCCTCACAGCTTTATCTTTGTATTTGCCCCTTACTTTATCTTGTGCCTTGAGAAATTGCTGGGGAGAGAGGTATGTCCACTGGGCAGCTGTACAGGATGGAGGATATAGGGCGTTTCCACTCCCAGCAGCCAGGTTCCCTCACCCCAAGCTCACCCACTGTTGGGGAGATTATCTACAATAACACCAGAAACACATTGGGGTGGATTGGGGGTATCCTTATGGGTTCTTTTCAGGGAACCATTGCTGGACAAGGCACAGGAGCCACCTCCATTTCTGAGCTCTGCAAGGGACAAGAACTAGAGCCATCAGGGGCTGGGCTCACTGTGGCCCCACCCCAAGCCGTCAGCCTCCAGGGATCTACACCCTGCCTTGGCTGCTACAGCTTTTTCACTCCACTGCCCTAGGGGAGTTCAGCAACCTAATGATCTCTATCTCTGAACATCTCTTCATCCCATGCTCCAAGTCCAGCAACCTGCACCCTGGAACCAGGAGTGGACCCTACCCGAGCTGTCTGTATTAATCCCCATCCCCCACCACCAATCTTAAAAAGCCCTCTGTCCCCCTACCCTAAACCCCAGTTAGGTACCCATGCTGGGCAGGTCAGTTAACAATTTATGCACAGGTACTAGTTTTATTGTATTACCGTTCCAGGGTAGCTTTGAAAAAAGTATCTCAAAAAGGCAACATGGGCCGAGCGCAGTGGCTCACGCCTGTAATCCCAGCACTTTGGGAGGCCAAGGTGGGCAGATCGCCTGAGGTCTGGAGTTCAAGACCAGCCTGGCCAACAGGGTGAAACCCCGTCTCTACAAAAATAAGAAAATTAGCCAGGTGTAGTGGCAGACGTCTGTAATCCCAGCTATTCAGGAGGCTGAGGCACGAGAATTCCATGAACCCAGGATGCGGAGGTTGCAGTGAGCCGAGATTGTGCCACTGCGCTCCAGCCTGGGCGACAGAGTGGTATTCTGTTTCAAAAAAAAAAAAAAAGGCAGTATGTAGCCCCGAAGACTGTTGCCCAAGTGGTAGAATGTTAGCACACTACCAGCCTAGGTAAAAAATACAAAAAGTAACTGGGCATGGCGGCGCCCATCTATAGTCCCAGCTACATGGGAGGCTGAGGTGGGAAGATAAGTCACTTGAGCCCGCCAGGAGGCGGAGGTTGTAGTGAGCTGAGATCGCACCACTGCACTCCAGCCTGGGTGACCGAGTGATACTCTGTCTCAAAGAAAAAAAATTATAATTTTAGCACAGTAACCAGCCATGATGGGAGATACCCTGGGTAAGGCATGTAGAAAGGGTTGAGGGACCTTCCCAGTCCCCTAGCCCCGCCTCCCATCCTCCCATCTTTTTCTTTTTTCTTTTTTTTAGAGAATCACCCAGCCTGGAGCGAAGTGGTGCAATCATAACTCACTGTATCCTTAAACTCCCGGGCTTAAGCGATCCTCCTGCCTCAGCCTTCTGAGTAACTAGGACTTCAGGTACCTGTCACCATGCCTGGCTAATTAAATTTTTTTTTCTTTTTTTTTTTTGAGATGGAGTCTTGCTCTGTCACCCAGGCTGGAGTGCAGTGGCGCGATCTCAGCTCACTGCGACCTCCACCTCCTGGGTTCAGGCCATTCTCCCGCCTCAGCCTCCAGAGTAGCTGGGACTACAGGCGCCTGCCACCACGCCTGGCTAATTTTTTTGCACTTTTAGTAGAGACGGGGTTTCACTGTGTTAGCCAGGATGGTCTCGATCTCCTGACCTTGTGATCCGCCCGCCTCGGCCTCCCAAAGTGCTGGGATTACAGGCGTGAGCCACCGCGCCCAGCCAAATTAAATTTTTTATAGAGATGAGGTCATGCTGTTATGTTGCCCAGGTTGGCCTCATGAGATCTTGCCTTAGCCTCCCAAAGTGCTGGGATTACAGATGTGAGACACTGCACCCAAACCCCACCACTTTTTTTTTTCCTTTTTCTTTTTTTGAGACAGTCTTACTCCGTTGCCCAGGCTGGAGTGTAGTGGCATGATCTCAGCTCACTGCAACCTCCGCCTCCCGGGTTCAAGCAATTCTCCTGCCTCAGCCTCCCGAGTAGCTGGGATTACAGAGGCCTGCCACCACACCCGACTAATTTTCGTATTTTTAGTAGAGACGGGGTTTCTCCATGTTGGCCAGGCTGTTCTTGAACTCCTGACCTCAAGTGCTCCACCTGCGTTGGCTTCCCAAAGTGCTGGGATACAGGAGTGAGCCACTGCGCCTGGCTGATCCCAGCACTTTTCAAATGATGCCGCTCAAAGCCGTGACTTGGCCTACTTTGAACAGCAAACTTGTTGCTGCTGTTGTCAACCTGAAGGCCTCTCAAATGCCAGCTTCAAGCAGGGTGTGAATTGGCCAGTGTCAGATCTCAGGAGTCCTGTGTTGAGAGTGTGGCTTTCAGCTGCGGGGAGCTGCACTTGGTGGGGAAAGCCAGGCAGGTCACCCTCACAGCCAGATAATGTGGAGGTCAGAACCCAAGGAAGGGAGTGAGACCTCCACTCCCAGTGGGGGACCTGGCCACCCATCCTTGGGGACCTGAGAAAGCGTACTTCACCTTGGGGTGAAGGCTGGGTGGGGCCAGAGGGACCAGTGCCCTCCTCAGTGCTTAGGGGCAGAGCCACCTGCAGCAATGGTATCTGCATATTAGCCCCTCTCCACCTTCTTTCTCCCGCTGAATCATTTCCCTCAAAGCCCAAGAGCTGTCACTGCTTCTTTCTCCCTGGGAAGAATGCGTGGACTCTGCCTGGTGATAGACTGAAGCCAGAACAGTGCCACACCCTCGCCTTAATTCCTTGCTAGGTGTTCTCAGATTTATGAGACTTCTTAGTCAAATATGAGGGAGGTTGGATGTGGTGGCTTGTGCCTGTAATCCCAGCATTTTGGGAAGCCGAGGTGGGAGGATCCCTTGAAGCCAGGAGTTTGAGACAAGCCTGGGCAACAAAGCAAGACCCTATCTCTAAAAAAAAAAAAAAAAAAAAAAAAAAAAAAAAAAAAAAAAAATCTAGGAGATGCTCTTTACCCTGCCTGGCCTCAAACTATTAATAGCTTCCTTTGAGCAACATTATTTATTATGAACTTTCAAACACAAAAAAGTAGAGAGAGTAGAATAACAAATCCCCATGAGCCCATCACCCAACTTCAGTAATTATCAATTCATGGCCATCTTGTTCACCCCTGCCTGCTTCCCTGCTTCCCCTCATTCTGCAGAGGTTCTTTTCTTTTGAGACAGAGTGTTGCTCTGTTGCCCAGGCTGGAGTGCAGTGGTGCAACTTCGGCTCACTGCAACCTCCGCCTCCCAGGTTCAAGTGATTCTCCTGCTTCAGCCTCTCAAGTAGCTGGGATTACAGATGCCCGCCACCACACCTGGCTAATTTTCGTATTTTTGTTAGAGATGGGGTTTCACCATGTTGGCCAGGCTGGTCTCGAACTCCTGACCTCAAGTGATCCGCCCGCCTTGGCCTCCCAAAATGCTGGGATTACAGGTGTGAACCACGGTGCCTGGCCACTGTACAGGTTATTTATAGAAGTTGGAGAGTGAAGGGTTGAGAAAGCCAAGGGGCAGATGCGGGTCTGGAGGATTTTGTGCCTAAGGCCCTCTCTTTGCTCCCAGACAGCATGAAGTAACAATGAGGCATCCACCTCTTGGTTTTGTGGCCTCTGTGGATGACGTCTCTCACCTTGAACCAGTTCAGAGTTGGAGTAGCGCAGGATCCTGTCTTCAGAGGAGGGGCCGAAGCGGGTTCCTCTGTTGTCAAGCTCTTTGGAGGTGCCTGGCTGCTACTACTGTCCCAGAGAGGTGATGATGAATGATGGGTGTGTCCAGTGGCAGTTTGCCCCACTGAGGCAGGGGCTTCCACTAGGCCCTGACAGAGCCCTTCCAGCAGGCAGAAATCCCTGTGCTAGGCAAGATTCAAACTCCGTAGCATGTCTCCTGCTCCCATCTCTTAGGAATGGAGTCCTTCAGGCCTTGAGTCCCACATTTTCCATGATGCTCCATTAAGCAGCTGATAGCACCCCCACCTCCAGGGAAAGTGAGTTCAGAGTCCTTGGTCTAATGCATCTGTGTTGAAATTGAGGCCTTCCCCTGTGTTCACCTTTCTGCTCTTTTTCTTTTAGCCCAAGGCTATGAAGGCCTCATTCGGTGCTGGGCATGGTCACTCCTAGCATTCCTCACTCTGTTGCTAACAGCAACAGCAATAATAATAAGGGTTACAACTTACTCCATACCTTACTGTCTGCCAGGCATTAAGCTAAGTGCTTTACATATATTAAGTCATTTAATCCTCATAATGACCCTATGAAAGAGATACCATCTCAACCCAATTGACAGCTGGTTTGCAAGATTAGGAGGGATGAAGGACCCAGGGGACAATGCGAGGGAAAACTCTGACCCCGGGGCCCCAGGCTGGATGTTCTTTATGCCTGTGAACCACAGCTTATCACATGTCTGGAGTTAGGGACCCCACTTAAAGTGAGATTTTGGCTGGAGGTGGTGGATCATACCTATAATCCCAGCACTTTGGGAGACCAAGGCAGAAGGACTGCTTGAGGCCAGGAGTTCAAAACCAGTGTAGGTAACAGCTAGACCCTATCTCTACAAAAAATTTAAAAATTAGCTGGGTGTGGTGGTATGTGCCTCAAGTTCCAGCTACTCAGGAGGCTGAGGTGGGAGGATCACTTGAGCACAGGAGTTTGAAGTTACAGTGAGCTATGATGGCACCACTGCACTTCAGCCTAGGCAACAGAGGGAGACCCTGTCTTTAAAGTACATAGAGGTTTTTCACACCAACACATCTCTGCCCAGTGTGCCAACATCTGCCACCTGCTATAATAGTACTATAACACTCAATATGTAATTAATGTAGTCTCAGGGATGTTATGACAATATGATTACAACTATCACGTGTGTGCCCAGCCAGGCTCAATGCCCCAGGCTGGGCGAGGTGGGGCAGGGGACACAGCCTAAAATGCCAGGCCTCAGGAAGCCATTTGGTTTAGCAGACATTGTTTATTAAAGGAGTTACCTATGCCAGATCGAAGGCCTAAGATGATTAAGACACTATGAGTGCCTTCAAGTGGTTGGGGACGTTCATGATTGTGGTACAGACAAATAGGCTTTCACATCATTCTTTTATGTAATCATACAACAGATATTTGCACCTACATGTGCAGAGCACTGTGATAGGCCTCAGTGACACAGAATAATACGGCAAAGACCCCACCCGATGAGCCCCCTCCCACCACCCACCAGTACAGTAGGGGGTGGTTTAATGGAGTGTTCCTGGAATATGAAGTGGGGGCAGGCATTAGGGGTGGCAAAGGGACAAGTGTTTATCTGATCAGTTATGTACTGTTTATAATAAGTAAATCAGCAGAGGGGGAATAATACTTAGAACCTATAGAGAGTAAATCTGACAAGATGAAATGCTGATGAAAATATGGAGGAAATGAAACTCTCATGGGTTTTGCAGGGAATCTAAGTCAGTGCTGTGTTGTGAATGTAGGTGTACCCTTTGAATTCATATGTTGAATCCTAACCCCCAAAGCAATGGCATTAAGAGGTGGGGCCTTTGGGGCTGGGTATGGTGGCTCATGACTGTAATCCCAGCACTTTGGGATGCTGGCAGGGGGCAGATCACTTGAAGCCAGGAGTCTGAGATCAGCCTGGCCAACATGGTGAAACCCCATCTGTACTAAAAATACAAAAATTAGCCAGGTGTGATGGCGTACATCTGTAATTTCAGCCACTCGGGAGGCTGAGACAGGAGAATAGCTTGAACCCAGTAGGTGGAGATTTCAGTGAGCCGAGATCGTGCCACTGCACTCCAGCCTGGGTGACAGAGCGAGACTCCATCTCAAAAAAATAATAAAGATGTGGGGCCTGTGGGAGGTGGTTAGGTCATGAGGGTGGAGATCATGAATGGGGTTAGCACCTTATAAAACAGGCTTGAGGGAGCCCTTCTGTCCCTTCTACCATGTGTGGATGCAGTGAGAAGGCACCGTATCTCTGAAGCAGAGAGCCCGCCCTGGACACTGGATCTGCTGGCACCTTGATCTTGGACTTCCCAGCCTCTAGAACTGTGAGAAATAATTTTTTGTTGTTTACAAATTACCCAGGCTAAGGTGTTTCATTGTAACCTGAATGGACCAAGCTGGTGTGACCCTGTTGGAAAACTGGCAGTATCTACCAAAAGCCGAACATACGTATAAACTGATCCAGCAGTTCCACTCCTGGGTATGTACACCACAGAAAGCTATGTCCACCGAGACATTGGCAAGAATGTTTCTAACCACACGCTGACTGTAGCCCCAAACCTGAAACAACCCAAATGTCCATCCACCAACCCAAATGTCCATCCACAGTTGAAGCTACAGTGAAGTCACAGGGTCGAATACTACTGCACAGCAACGAATATGAATGAAAATATCGCTATGCACAGCAACATGGATAAATTTCACAGACATGAGGTCAAGCAAAAGAGGTCAGAGTCCTCATCATCAAGAGAGAATTCATTGTATGATTCTCTTCCTACAAAAAGTACAGAAATAAGCAAAACTGATCCATGGTGTTAGAAGCCAGGGGAACAGTTAACAGGGGAGGGATACTGGGGAGGGGCATCCTGGAGTGCTGGTCTACCTCATCTGGGTGTTGATTTCACGAGTATTGTCAGTTTGTTTCCAGACTCCCTGTTGGAGATGTGGAAATAAAAACCACCTAAACAAGAGCAGAGAGGCCATTTGGTCAAAGTTTGCAAAGGAGTCAGCCATGATTGCTTGTATTTGGCAGGGGTCAAAGGCAGGCAGGGACTGTGAAATGTTATAGTGGAAAAAAAGGGAAGGCTCTGGGTGTGCTGTGATTGGAGATTGTTGGCATGGGGACAGAGCGGACTAACTGGAGGGGCATCTTTGGTTGGTTGGGGGGGTATATTTGGCTTTCTCTGGTTGGTCTGGAGTTGGAAGAGGGGGTGTGGTGGCTGGGGATTGGGAAGAAGCTGGCAGCCACTAAGTTCAGACTGTTCTGGGTCCGATTGCTGCTGAGGCTGTGGTTTGGCTTCCTTGGCTTCCCAGGCTGGTCATGGGTTTCTGGCCAGAGTCTATTGTCATATGTGGCCTGGCCATTGTCCAGTTGTATGTTCAGTCTCTTGGAAGGAAGGGTATTGACTCTGAGAGGGGCCACCATCGCTGGAATGGGGGACACACAGTACTTCCTCCAGCTGCCTACACCCCCCTAGGGTCAGTGGCGCCTGCCTGTGAGGGTGAGCCCAATGGCTAGAGGGCTCTGCTCCAAGTCATTGCTTACTACACCCACAAACATTCTTCGTTCTTTAAGGCCTAACTTAAAGCCCAGATCCTACAGGAAACCTTGATTAGACCCCTCTCTTTATTAAGCTTCCTAAGATCAAACCCTGCTTTTGTGTAAATGCTGACCTCCTTGCCTACATTTTAAAAACCTAGAGCTGGGCATGATGGCCCCAGCCTGTAATCCCAGTGATTCAGGAGACTGAGGTGGGAGGATTGCTAGAAGCCAGGAGTTCGAGACCAGCCTGGGTAACATAGCTAGACCACATCTCTTAAAATAAAATAGTTAATTTAGCCAGGCATGATGATATATGCCTGTAGTCCCAACTACTTGGAAGGCTGAGGTGTGAGGATCTTTGAGCCCGGGAGGTCGAGGCTACAGTAAGCTATGATCTCACCACTGTACTCCAGCCTGGGTGACAGAGCGAGACCCAGACTCAAAAAATAAAAATAAAAACCCTGAATATCTTCCTTCTACTTCTTCAGTGCTGTTTTTATTTAAAAAAAAAAAAAACCAGCCAAAACCACAACTTTTTACTGAAGTGTAATGTAAATGCTGTAAAAGGCAGTGAAAGGCACAAGGGAGGTGGAGGGGTAGGAAGGGTGGAAGTGGCGGGAGGAAGTGGCAGGGCAGGCAAAATGAAGGGAAGCCCTGGGTTCTTGTCCTGCATCCGCAGCCAGCTCCCACTTTCCTCACCCTCCAGGACCTGTAAACTGTGAGGCTGGACCAGTTATGTCAAATCTGTCCTCCCCCAGAGCTCAGTCCCTCTGCCCTTGGGTGTCCTTGGCACAAGGCAGGCTAGGCTGCACCAGCTTCCTCCATCTCCGTCCTGCCTCCCCCATCCCCAGGTGCCATTCCCACACCATCTGAATCACTGATTTCCTCGCAATCAGACGCTATCTTCCAGTTAATCACTTCGCTTGTATTTAACATAAGAAAGAAAAACCCTTTCATTATCACATACAGCTGGAAATCGGCTTCTTGCAGGAGGCGTATCCAAAGGAATTGGAGAAGAGATAAACTGGTAATTGGTGAAAGAATTACTTTAATTTTTTTTCCTACTTGCTGTCATGATGATGTCCTTAGAATTGTGAGCCCGTGGACACTTCTGTACAATAAATCTGCTATTATTACTTCTAGAACTACAGTTATAATGGTCTACAATGGCCAGATGCCTGCTTGTAATGAGAAGCTACTGCAGTGAAGATCAACAGAGTCAGGGGGCTTGTCTGTGACCTCTCCTCCTTTTCCCTCCTGCCTTCTCCCTGGGGATGGGTGGGTTTCTACTTAAAGACAAGCTCCCAGCTCTCAGACAGAGAATGTATGAGAGCAAAACAGAAGTCACAGTCCTTTGGTACTTAATCTTGAAAGTGACATCCCAGCAGTTTTTTTTTTTTTTTTTTTTTTTTAAGACAAGGGCATGCTCTATCGCCCAGGTTGGAGTAGAGTGGAGTAGAATGTCTCACTGCAGCCTCAAACTCCTGGGCTCAAGCAATCCTCCCACCTCAGCCTCCTGAGTTGCTGGGACCAGAGGCACACGCTACCATGCCTGGCTAACTTTCATGATTTTTAGTAGAGATGCGGTCTCACTGTGTTGCCTATGTTAGTCTCAGACTGCTGGGCTCAAGTGATCCTCCTGGCTCAGCCTCCCAAAGTGCTAGGATTACAGGCAGGAGCCTCTGCATCCACTCCCATCACTTCTGTAAATTGCAGTCAAGGGGCAATTTACCCAGAAGTAGGAACCACTGGAAGCACCATTATAGCAGCTGCCTCTTCAGGAGGGGAATTTGATTCTGTCCTACAAAATGACATATGCATGTGTTTTTTGACCCAGCAATTCCATTTCTAGTAGTCTAAGCCAAAGATAACATTGGCAAAAATAAAGATATATGTCCAAGGCTAGTCATTATAGCCCACTGTGTAAATAGCAAAAGACTGGAAATAACTCAGACAATGTCCATCTACAGAACATTGGCAATAAACCAAGGTATATCTACATTGGAGTGCTATGCAGCTGTGAATAGAAATGAGTATCTCTATACTGCTATGGAGTGAACTCCATGATGTTTTGCTAAGAGGAAAAAAAAAGTGGAAAACTGTATATATAATATAGAATCTTTGGGCTGGGTGGTGGCTCATGCCTGTAATCCCAGCACTTTGGGAGGCCGGGGCAGGTGGATTATGTCAGGAGATCGACACCATCCTGGCCAACATGGGGAAACCCCGTCTCTACTAAAAATACAAAAAAATTAGCTGGCCATGGTGGTACGCGCCTGTAGTCCCAGCTACTCGGGAGGCTGAGGCAGGAGAATCGCTTGAACCTGGGAGGCAGAGGTTGCAGTGAGTCACGATCACAGCACTTCCAAAAAAAAAAAAAAAAAGACCTGACTCCAGTGGACTGAAACTCATCAAATAGGCTTTTAAAATCCATGAGTTGGCCAGGCGCGGTGGCTCACGCCTGTAATCCCAGTGCTTTGGGAGGCCAAGGCAGGTGGATCACGAGGTCAGGAGTTTGAGACCAGCCTGGCCAACATAGTGAAACCCCGTCTCTACTAAAAAAAAAAATACAGTCCGGGTGCGGTGGCTCATGCCTGTAATCCCAGCACTTTAGGAGGCTGAGGTGGGCGGATCACCAGGTCAGGAGATTGAGACCATCCTGGCTAACACGGTGAAACCCCGACTCTACTAAAAAAAAAAAAAAAAAAAAAAAAAAAATTAGCCAGGCATAGTGGCAGGTAGCCTGTAGTCCCAGCTACTCGGGAGGCTGAGGCAGGAGAATGGCGTGAACCTGGGAGGCGGAGCTTGCAGTGAGCCGACATAGCGTCACTGCACTCCAGCCTGGGCGACAGAGACTCTGCCTCAAAAAAACAAAACAAAACAAAACAAAAATAAGCTAGACGTGGTGGCACGCGCCTGTAGTCCCAGCTACTCAGGGGGCTGAGGAAGGAGAATCGCTTGAACCCGGGAGGTGGAGGTTGTGGCGAGCCGAGATCACGCCAGTGCACACCAGCCCCGGCAACAGTGTGAGACTCCGTCTCAAAAAAAAAAAAAAAAAAAAAAAAAACACCAGGCATGGTGGCGCACGCCTGTAATCCCAGCACTTTGAGAAGCCAAAGTGGGTGGATTCTATGAGCTCAGGAGTTCGAGACCACCCTGGGCAACATGGTGAAACCTCCTCTCTGCTAAAATAGAAAAAATTAGCTGGGCGTGGTGGCACTTGCCTGTAGTCCCAGTTACTCAGGAGGCTGAGGCAGGAGAATCGCTTGAACCCAGAAGGCGGAGGTTGCAGTGAGCCGAGATCGCACCACTGCACTCCAGCCTGGGCAACAGAGTGAGACCGTCTCAAAAAAAAAAAAAAAAAGCCACCAGTTCATGATAATACTAAAAAGAATTCATTGTTGACCTCTAGAGGATGCCCCAGGAAACCAACTCATTCTGAAAACTGGTCAGTAAAGGGAAAGAATTGATCCTGCCTTTTCTATTTGAGTAGTTCCAGCTCCTCTGGAGGCTGAGGTTGAGGTACTTCAGGATAACAAAGAGTTGATGAGGGAAGATTCTTTATAGAAATATTCCAGTTAGGCTGGGTGCGGTGGCTCACACCTATAATCCCAGCACTTTGGGAGGCCAGGCAGGTGGATCACTTGAGGTCAGGATTTCGAGACTAGACTGGCCAACATGTTGAAACCCCATCTCTACTAAAAATACAAAAGAAAAGTAGCTGGGTGTCGTGGTGCACAGCCGTAATCCCAGCTACTCGGGAAGCCGGGGCAGGAGAATCGCTTGAACCTGGGAGGAGGAAGTTGCGGTGAGCTGAGGTCGTGTCACTGCACTCCAGCCTGGGTGACAGAGTGAGACTCTGTCACACACACACACACACACACACACACACACACACACACAAATTCCAGTTAACCAAGCATAGAAGAAACTACCTGATTAGAAAATTACGGTAGGGGCTGTAGCCCCTAACGTAAGTAGTTAATGTTATGAATTTCTCTTCTCTTGATGAGATGAATAAAAAGTAAATAGTGAGACATGGTGGCTCACACCTGTAATGTTTTCACTTATAAGTGGGAACCACTTTGGGAGGCCAAGGTGGGAGGATCGCTTGAGGCCAGGAGTTTGAGACCAGCCTGGGCAACATAGTGAGACCCTTGTCTCTAAAAAAAAAAAAAAAAAAAAAATTAGCTGGGCGTGGTGGTGCACACCTGTACCTCCAGGTACTTGGGAGGCTGAAGTGGGAGAATTGCTTGAACCCAGGGGTTTGAGGCTGCAGTAAGCTGTGACTGCACCACTGCACTCTTGCTTGGGTGACAGGGTGAGACCCCGTCTCAAAAACAAAACAAAAATAGAAAAATAATGTTTAAAAAGGTAAATAGCACCTGTGAAGAATTCTTTTAAAGAAATCAAACCTGGGCCAGGTGCGGTGGCTCATGCCTGTAATCCCAGCACTTTGGGAGGCTGAGGCAGGCGGATCACCTGAGGTCGGGAGTTCGAGATCAGCCTGGCCAACATGGAGAAACCCATCTGTAATAAAAATACAAAATTAGCCAGGTGTGGTGGTGCATGCCTGTAATCTCAGCTACTCAGGAGGCTGAGGCAGAAGAATCGCTTGAACCTGGGAGGCGGAAGTTGTGGTGAGCTGAGATTGTGCCATTGTACTTCGGCCTGAGCAACAAGAGTGAAACTCCACCTCAAAAAAAAAAAAAAAAGGCAAAGCAATCAAATATAATATGTTAATATGTTGATCTCATTTGGAAACTAAATTGATTTTTTAAAAAATTTACTTAAGAGACTGGGTCTTGGTATGTTGCCTAGGCTGGACTCAAACTCCTTGTGTCAATCAATCCTCTCGCCTCAGCCTCCACTACAGGCTTTAAGAAATTAGCTCTAAGTCCTTATGGTAGGAAAGCTGTAACTCAGGTTACTGGATCATGGAGAGGCCAGGATTAGGTGACCTGAAAAATGTGGGCTTGGTCTCCATCATGATTGTTTAATTAAGACTCTTGGTTCCAGCTGGGCACGGTGGCTCACGCCTGTAATCTCAGCACTTTGGGAGGCCGAGGCGGGTGGATCACAAGGTCAGGAGATCGAGACCATCCTGGCTAACACGGTGAAACCCTGTCTCTACTAAAAACAAACAAACAAACAAAAATTAGCTGGGCATGGTGGCGGGTGCCTGTAGTCCCAGCTACTCAGGAGGCTGAGGCAGGAGAATGGCATGAACCCAGGAGGCGGAGCTTGTATTGAGCCGAGATTGTGCCACTGCACTCCAGTTTGGGTGAAAGAGCAAGACTCCGTCTCAAAAAAAAAAAAAAAGACTCTTGGTTCCAAGTAACAGAAGACAATGTAAGCTAGATTAAAATATGGGGCGGGAGACTTAATAAACTTATTTTAATGTTGCGGGGGGAGACATATGGAACACAGACAGGAATGTATTCAGCCTAGGGAATGGATAGAAACAGGCAGGACTGGGAGAGCTGGCAAAGTGCTTTTTCTGTTCTGTTCATCTGTTCACTCTTGGAGCTCTGTGCAAACCTACTTTTTTTTTTTTTTGAGATGCAGTTTTGCACTGTCACCCAGGCTGGAGTGCAGCGGTGCGATCTCGGCTCATTTCAACCTTGGCCTCCTGGGTTCAGGCAATTCTCCTGCCTCAGCCTCCCGAGTAGCTCCCTCCACCATACCCAGCTAATTTTTGTATTTTTAGTAGAGATGGGGTTTTGCCATGTTGGCCAGGCTGGTTTCGAACTCCTGACCTCAGGTGATCTGTCTGCCTCGGCTTCCCAAAGTGCTGGGATTACAGGCGTGAGCCACTGCGCCCGGCCGCAAACCAATTTTTTCTGCTTCTTTGACCCCACGAGGAATGTGGCATCACACTTTGAGAAGTAAGTCTCTATTCCAAGGTGGTGGGGTTTAGGAGGTACAAACATGGCTGTTGGGGCCTAATCTATGATCTATAGGAGGAATGGTTGTAAGTTGGGTAGATGTCAAATATGTCCACTATGAAGATGTAGTTTTTTTTTTGAGACAGAATCTCGCTCTATCGCCCAGGCTGGAGTGCAGTAGCGTGATCTCGGCTCACTGCAACCTCCGTCTCCCAGGTTCAAGCAATTCTCTGCCTCAGCCTCCTGAGTAGCTGGGATTACAGGTGCCCCGCCGCCATGCCCGGCTAATTTTTTTTCGTATTTTTAGTAGAGACAGGGTTTCACCAAGTTGGCCAGGCTGGTCTTGAACTCCTGACCTTGTGATCCACCCACCTTGGCCTACCAATGTGCTGGGATTACAGACGTGAGCCACCACACCCGGACTGTTTTTTTTTTTGAAGATGGAGTCTCGCTCTGTCACCCAGGCTGAGTGTAGCGGCATGATCTCAGCTCAATGCAACCTCTGCCCAAGATATAGGTATTTTAAGGGATCCTAAACTTGGTATTGTCACTGCAATCATTCCTTAGCAAATGGTGTGTGTGCACTCACACTCTGAAAGGTACTGGGGGATGTAAAGATGCAAAGTCTTAATCTGATAGCTCTCATATCTAGTTGGGATTATACAACGTGTACACCAAGAATCTTAGGACCAGGAAGTACGAGAAATGCCACTGAGAGTGACATAAGGCTGGGCAAGGTGGCTCACACCATAATCCCAGCACTTTAGGAGGCTGAGGGGGGCGGATCACTTGAGCTCAGGAGTTTCAGACCAGCTTGGGCAACGTTGTAAAACCCTGCCTCTTCAAAAAATACAAAATTAGCCAGGTATAGTGGTGTGGACCTGCAGTCCCAGCTACTTGAGTGGCTGAGGTGGGAGGACTGCTTGAGCCGGGGAGGTGGAGGTTGTAGTGAGCCATGATTGCGTCACTGCACTCCACCTTGGGTGACTGAGCCAGACCCTGTCTCAAAAAAAAAAAAAAAAGGGCCAGGCATGGTGGCTCACGCCTGTAATCCCAGC
Organism: Homo sapiens; assembly: GCF_000001405.40. Lineage (NCBI taxonomy): Eukaryota > Metazoa > Chordata > Mammalia > Primates > Hominidae > Homo > Homo sapiens. The sequence continues at coordinate 3,881,920 of NC_000020.11, forward strand.
ACTTTGGGAGGCCGAGGCGGGCGGATCACGAGGTCAGGAGATCAAGACCATCCTGGCTAACACAGTGAAACCCCGTCTCTACTAAATATACAAAAAAAAGTTAGCCGGGCGTGGTGGCAGGCGCCTGTAGTCCCAGCTACTCGGGAGGCTGAGGCAGGAGAATGGCGTGAACCTGGGTGGCGGGGCTTGCAGTGAGCCGAGATCGTGCCACTGCACTCCAGCCTGGGCAACAGAGCAAGACTATGTCTCAAAAAAAAAAAAAAAATCAGGGTTGGCCGGGTGCAGAGGCTCATGCCTGTAATCCCAGCACTGTGGGAGGCTGAGGTGGGTGGATCACCTGAGGTTAGGAGTTCAAGACCAGACTGGTGAAACCCTGTTTCTACTAAAAAATACAAAAATTAGCCGGGTGTGGTGGCATGCACCTGTAGTCCCAGCTACTTGGGAGGCTGAGGCAGGAGAATCACTTGAACCCAGGAGATGGAGGATGGAGTGAGCTGAGATTGCGCCAGTGCACTCCAGCCTGGGCGATGGAGAGACAGACTCTGTCTCCAAAAAAAAAAAAAAAAAAAAAAAAAGATCAGGTTTACAGTGAACTGTGGTAATCAATGAAGACATTAAGGAGGAGGTATCATTTGGGCCATGCCATAGAAGTTGGATTGGATTTTGATAAGCAGAAATGTGGCGGGAAGGAATTTTATGTAGAGATGTAGAGATGCCCTTTGGGAGGCTGAGGCAGGCAGATCACCTGTGGTCGGGAGTTCAAGACCAGCCTGACCAACGTGGAGAAACCCCATCTCTACTAAAAATACAAAAATTAGCTGGGTGTGGTGGTGCATCCCTGTAATCCCAGCTACTTGGGAGGCTGAGGCAGGAGAATCGCTTGAACCCAGGAGGCAGAGGTTGCGGTGAGCTGAGATAGCACCATTGCATTCCAGCCTGGGCAACAAGAGCAAAACTCCGTTTCAAAAGAAAAAAAAAAAAAAGATGTAGAGATGAAGGATGAGCCAAAGCTGGGTAAGAATAAGGCTTATCTAGAGAATTGTGAGATTTGTTTTGTTAGAACAGTTATGCAAGCATAATAAAGCAATGAGAAAAAGTGGGAAGATGCTGGGCGCGGTGGCTCACGCCTGTAATCCCAGCACTTTGGGAGGCTGAGGCGGGCGGATCATGAGGTCAGGAGATCGAGACCATCCTGGCTAACACGGTGAAACCCCGTCTCTACTAAAAAAATACAAAAAATTAGCCCAGTGTGGTGGCAGGCGCCTGTAGTCCCAGCTACTCCGGAGGCTGAGGCAGGAGAATGGCATGAACCCGGGAGGTGGAGCTTGCAGTGAGCCGAGATTGTGCCACCGCACTCCAGCTTGGGTGACAGAGTGAGACTCCATCTCAAAAAAAAAAAAAAAAAAAAGAAAAAGAAAAAGTGGGAAGATACCAAATGGTGGAGCTCCTTGGATGTCAAGTTGTTTGAACTTCATTCTGTAGGCAAAGAAGCCACCATAACCTTTTTAACATAGGCGAGATTATAAACAGGAGAATGCTTTAATAAGATTACCCTGGGAGCTGTGGGCCTGGAGAGTAGAGACTAGAGGCAGAACAAACTCTTAGGAGGCCATTGAAATAAATTACTAATTAGAGCTTTCTGTTTGTGATAGCCACTAGACACCTGTGGCTATTTATTTTTTTCTTTTTTTTTTTTTTGAGACGGAGTCTTGCTCTGTCGCCCAGGCTGGAGTGCAGTGGCGCGATCTCGGCTCACTGCAAGCTCCGCCTCCTAGGTTCACGCCATTCTCCTGCCTCAGCCTCCCAAGCAGCTGGGTCTACAGGCGCCCGCCACCATGCCCGGCTAATTTTTTGTATTTTTAGTAGAGACGGGGTTTCACCATGTTAGCCAGGATGGTCTCGATCCCCTGACCTCGTGATCTGCCCGCCTCGGCCTCCCAAAGTGCTGGGATTACAGGCGTGAGCCACCGTGCCTGGTACTTGTGGCTATTGACTACTTGAAATGTGACTCGGTGAGAGTGAGATCCTTTTTTTTTTTTTGAGACAGTGTCTCGCTCTGTGGTCCAGGCTGAGTGCAGTGGTGCGATCTTGGTTCACTGCAACCTCCACCTCCCTGGTTCAGGCGATCCTCCCACCTCAGCCTCCTGAGTAGCTGGGACCACAGGCATGTGCCACCACGCCTGGCTAATTTTTGTATTTTTGTAGAGATGGGGTTTTGCCACATTGCCCAGGCTGGTCTCTAACTCCTGGACTCATGTGATCCGCCTGCCTTGGCCTCCCAAAGTGCTGGGATTAAGCAAGGGCCATCATGCCTGGTCCCGAGATCACGTCTCTTAAAAAACAAATAGGCTGTGTGCAGTGGCTCATCCCTGTAATTCCAGCACTTTGGGAGGCCAAGGTGGGTGGATCACCTGAGTTGGAGTTCGAGACCACCCTGGCCAACGTAGCAAAACTCCATCTCTACTAAAAGTACAAAAATTAGCCAGGCATGGTGGTGTGCGCCTGTACTCCCAGCTACTCGGGAGGCTCAGTAAGGAGAATCGCTTGAACCCAGGAGGTGGAGGTTGCAGTGAGCCGAGATAGTGCCATTGCACTCCAGCCTGGGCAACAGAGACTCCGTCTCAAAGAAAATAAATAAAATAAAATAAAGTAAAAGCACTAGACTATTAGTAGTTAAGAGCAAGTTAACAGTATCCAAATCAGGGCTATTTAGTCAAAGATAAGATAGACTTTGAGCTTGAAAACTAAGGGAAAATTTTCATCTCTTTCAATACTTGGGAAGGGACAGGATCTTCCATATTTAGGAAACTGAGTTGTCCTAAACTCACTGTATTTCATCTTGAATTTTCTCTATTTTCCTGAGACAAGTGGAAACTGTGAAAGCAGTCAATGCTGTTATATTGCCTGTGAGCTCCGTCGAGGCCACCAGAATGCCATATGCTAGCTATACTATGCGTACGTATGTGCGCATATAACACACATCTCTGCCCCTTTTCAGCAGTGGACTCTGGGATACAGGCCAGACCTTGGAAGAGTGTCTAGGGGCTTAAGAACTTCATGTTCTTCATAGCTTTGCCTTTTTTTTTTTTTTTTTAACCCCCTCATACCTTTGTCCTTTGAGAGAGACAGTTAAGTAGGTAAGGTCTTCCCAAGTCCTCACACCATTACACTCTGGCCAAAAGGCCTTGTGTTTGAAACAGGCCTGATCTACACCCCTCATGTCCTCGGCACCGACGAAACACGATGACATGAGAAAGAACTTGGTGTTTAAGCCTCTGTGCCTGGCAATCTTGTGATGTCTTTTTTTTTTTTTTTTTTGAGATGGAGTCTTGCTCTGTCACCCAGGCTCAAGTTCAGTGGTGCCATCTTGGCTCACTACAACGTCCGCCTCTGGTTTCAAGTGATTCTCCTGGCTCAGCCTCCTAAGTAGCTGGGATTAGAGGTGCCCGCCAACACACCAGGTTAATTTTTGTATTTTTAGTGAAGACAGGGTTTCACCATGTTGGCCAGGCATGTCTCGAACTCCTGACCTCAGGTGATCCGCCCACCTTGGCCTCCCAAAGTGTTGGGATTACAGGCGTGAGCCACTGTGCCTGGCCTTTGTGATGATATCTTAATTTTTACTGCTAATGATGCTCTACTTTAGCTGCAAGAAAGCTCAAGGGAAGTCTGCCTCCTGGCTCTTAGAGAGCAGGAACAGACGAAGACGTGAATCATTAGGGGGCAGAAGGCGGACTATGGGCTCCAAGATGGCCTCCAGAGATTCTCTTCCTCCTGATATTCATGTCCTTGTGTAGTACCAACCTACACTGAATAGGGATGACCTGTGTGATAACAGGATATTGCATAAATGATGGAGTATAACTTCCCAGCCTAGGTCATAAAAGACATTGCGATTTGTCGTTTTCTCATCCTTCACTAGCTCTAGGGAAGGCCTGCTGCCATGTTGAAAGGACACTCACGTAGTCCTATGAAAGCCTGCATTGTGAGCTGAGGCCTCCTGCCAACAGCCAGCACCAACTTGCCAGCCATATGAGCAAGCCACCTTGGAAGTGGATACCCCAACCCACTACACTTTCAGAGGACTGCAACCTCTTGAAAGATTCTGAACAAGAACCACCCAGCTTATCAATCCTGAATTCCTGACTCACAGAAACTGGGATAATACATACATACATACTACTGTTTAAGCTGAAGTTTTGGTGTTTTTACCTAGCGATAGGCCTCTAATGTGGTAGATGAATATTTTGTATGATGTTTTGTCATTGAAACGGCTCTCGATTTTCAAGTCATTCCTTTAGAATCTGGCTAGTTTCTCTGAAGCTCTATGCTTACCATTCTTGTACTTATTCTGGTGTATACAACCAGAAAGTTGGCTTCTCTCTAGGGGTAAATAACCGGAGAGTGATAAAGAACTTAGTTCTCACTATAATAACCACAGAGAAAGGATGCCTCTTGTTAGGTTCATTTTACTTTTTTTTTTTTTTTTGAGACGAGTCTTGCTCTGTCACCCAGGCTGGAGTGCAGTGGCGTGACCTTGGCTCACTGCAAGCTCTGCCTCCCAGGTTCATGCCATTCTCCTGCCTCAGCCTCCCGAGTAGCTGGGACTACAGGTGCCTGCCACCATGCCTGGCTAATTTTTTGTATTTTTAGTAGAGATGGGATTTCACCGTGTTAGCCAGGATGGTCTCGACCTCCTGACCTCGTGATCTGCCCACCTCGGCCTCCCAACGTGCTGGGATTACAGGCGTGAGCCACCGCGCCTGGCCTCATTTTTTTTGAAAAAAAATAAAAAATAAAAAATAAAAAAATCTAAGCTTAATCATAGATTTACCTTACTCTGCTCCAAGGCAATTTTTCAACTTTTTAAAAAATAAATGTTTTCTTTCAGTATAATACCCAAAAAAGTGCACAAAATGTCTTGATAACATATTACAAAGGGAACACACCCATGTAACCCCCACCCAGATCAAAGAAACAGAATATCATTAGCCATCTAGAAGCCCATTTGGTCATCTTCATTTTCTTTTTTTTTTTTTTTTTGAGGCAGAGTCCCACTCTGTTGCCCAGGCTGGAGTGCAGTGGTGCAATCTCAGCTCACTGCAACCTCTGCATCCCAGGTTCAAGCAGTTCTTCTGCCTCAGCTTCTGGAGTAAGTGGGATTACAGGCACGCACCACTACGCCCAGCTAAGTTTTGTATTTTTAGTAGAGACAGGGTTTCACCATGTTGGGCCAGGCTGGTCTGAAACTCCTGACCTCCAGTGATCCGCCCGCCTCAGCCTCCCAAAGTGCTTGGATTACAGGCATGAGCCACTGTGCCTGGCCTAATTTTTTTTATTTTTTATTTTTTGTAGAAGTGGTCTCGAACTTGTGGTGTGCCTTCTTATTTATTTATTCATTTTTTTTTAGAGACGGAGTCTCACTGTCTCCCAGGCTGGAGTGCAGTGGCACGATCTCGGCTCACTGCAACCTCCGCCTACCGGATTCAAGTGACTCTCCTGCCTCAGCCTCCCAAGTAGCTGGGATTACAGGTGCCCACCACCACGCCCAACTAATTTTTGTGTTTGTTTTTTTTAGTAGAGACGGGGTTTCCCTGTGTTGGCCAGGCTGGTCTCGGACTCCTGACCTTGTGATTCGCACGCCTCGGCCTCCCAAAGTGCTGGGATTACAGGAGTTGAGCCACTGCGCCCGGCCGCTTTCTTTTGGTTATCATAAGGCGGGCAGTAGCTGAACTTCTCAGGAGTCCAAGCTCTGTCATTCTTTAGGCTTTGTGCTTCTGGATAAGTTACCTCATCATCCAAATGTTACTGCAAGGACTAAGTGAGATGTAGAGGCAGTGGGCAAATTGTGTAAAAATACTACTGTTTCAAGTGTTTTGATGTTGGAGTTCATCTTGCCAGCCAAGGGATGATGATACTTTGATTCTTCAGGATGATCAGAGCTCAGACTTGGACGGAAGCTCCCTCAGGTCAAGGAGGACCACATTTTTTGGGGGGTGGAGAGAGGAGGCAGAAAGAGAGGCAATGTCAGGCACTGAGATTTAGAAGAGTAGCTATAGCTGTTTTTGGTTCTTGTAGATCCGTCTGTGTTGGCTTCCTACAGGAGCTAGAATTTTCAGAGCTAGTCCTACAGTGAGGGGAGCTAACGTGGAGTGGGCGTGAGAATTCTATTCAGCAAGCACAAGCGAAGCTCAACCTTTTTGTTCAGCCTGCTACAACCAATCATTATGGGAGAGGGGAATAAGGATCACTGCCCAAGGGGCATTAGGATCACTGCCCAGTGGGCATTACAGTCTCCCCAGGGAGGCACTCTTTTTTATTTTTTATTTTTTTTGAGACGGAGTTTCGCTCTTGTTGCACAATGTTGGGTCACTGCAGCCTCCGCCACCCGGGTTCAAGCAATTTTCCTGCCTCAGCTTCCCAAGTAGCTGGGATTATAGGCATGGGCCACCACGCCCCGCTAATACGGAGGCACTTTTAATTAGCCCACAGTCCAGTGAAATTTGACGGAGTGAGGAAGTGACCTCAGAGTACAGAACGGGATGGGATCCTTCCGGGCTTGGGCAGCCTTTGGTAGTGGGGATGCTTGGAAGGGTCAGGGTCTCAGTCCTGGAGGTGACCAATTTTTCTCTCCAAAAGAGAAAGGAAGATGATTAAAAAAAAAATCCATGCTCCAAAGCGGCAGCCAAATCCTTCTATGGCCCCCAATGCATCACCCAGAAAGGGGCTCCAGACTCTCCTGCAAAAGGCCAACTCTACTTCCCGGCTCCCACTTCCCCTCCTTCGCCACAGGAGGGTGGCGAAGGATTTATAACCCACCTCTTTCTTTCAGTTGCCATGGAGACAAGCCCCAGTCCTTTCATTCCTTCTGGTACCTCTCTCTCCAACGCAGGCGGAAAGGAGGCGGCTTAGCCCAAACATGCTGGGGGAGGGGCTGGCGGCCTCGACGGCAGCTGCGGAACTAGGCCGAGGGACAAAGGCTAAGGTCAGCCGCGGTTCAAGCCCTTTCGTCTGCCGACGACCAGCGGCCAGACGCTGCGGGAGCACTGCTGGGCTGGAGGAGGGCTCGAGCTGCGAGGACGGCACGGAGCAGCGGGGTGGGACTCGGGGTCGCCCCAGGAGAGTTCCGCGGCCCGGGGGGGCAGAGGCATGCACAAGTGGGGGGCGGAAGGAGGGGGTGGATGAGGAGGCTCGGGCCCTTCCACCCACGCGTCCATTGGGCGGCGCCGCCATCACTCTCTTCTGGGCTACACCGCCTTCTCTTCCTCCGCGGAACCCGGATCCCCTCCTCCACCACCCTCTCCCCGCCCCGTCACGATAGCCTCTCATTGGACGGAGGCACGGTCAATCCTCCTCGAGTTAGGGAGCCGACTGGACGCGAGGCCTTTGGGCCGTCCCCAGCCTCGTCGGATTGGCTTCCTGCGCGTTGGCGCAACGGAAGAGGCGGCCGGCCGAGGGCGCGCCTCTGCTCTGGCTGGACTGCCGCGGAGGAGGCGAGAAGGAATCCGACGCTGGGGGGCTTGCTCGGGCGGCAGCGACTGCTGCTGCGGATGGGAGGGGGCCGGCTCGGCGCGCCCATGGAGCGCCACGGCAGGGCTTCCGCCACCTCCGTCTCGTCGGCTGGGGAGCAGGCGGCCGGGGACCCCGAAGGGCGGCGGCAGGAGCCACTGCGGCGCCGGGCGAGCAGCGCGTCGGTGCCCGCGGTCGGGGCCTCGGCTGAGGGCACGAGGCGGGATCGACTGGGCTCTTACAGCGGCCCCACCTCGGTCTCCCGCCAGCGCGTCGAAAGCCTGAGGAAAAAGCGGCCGCGTAAGTGTTCCGTGGGGCGCCCTCCCGGCCCGCCCTGCCCCCCCTTCCGGCCCACCCTGTCCCCTTCCGGCCCCGCCGCCGTTTTTCCCGCGCGCGGACACTGTCCCCGCACGGTGGTCCCTCGTTGGTGCGTGGCCTGACATCCGGCTGGAGGCCTCGGGTGCTCCGAAAGCGGTACCTTCGGGGGCCCCCCCGCACCCATTGGTATGCACTTCCCGCTTGTTGGAGTGGAGGGCTTTTCCCCAGGACCTGTCCTCCCTTTTCTTAGCTCCTTGGGCATTCTCTTCCTGAGGGTCACATGATTTTATCCTCGAGAAGGCTTCTTTTGACTCATTTCCACCTCCTTTCCTCCCAAATCCTTTGAATCCCCAATGTTTGTTTTCCGTGGGTTTCCAAAGAGCTGCTCTCTAATACTTTAAGTCCCTTTTATTCGTCAATTTCGGGCTTACTGGAAAATGGTGAACTGCCCCTTGAGTTGCACCAGGCCTGAAACTGTATTCCGTGCACCTCTAAGGTGGCTGCCCTTCTTCTCGTGAGAATCCAGGTCATCTCTCACCCACATATCCCCTCCGTTTTCCTTCTGTCTATTTGCAGGTACTCACGATTCAGAACTGTGGCATTCTGGGCATTAAGGCTCTTTGTTTTGAGGGGAAACAACATCTTTCTGAATTTTGCCTTGGGAGTTGCATACGCTCCTCCCAGAGAATCCGTTTCCCCATTTTATTAGGTTTCTTTTTCTGTGTTGTGTATTTTCTCCCCTTTACAAGTCTTCAATTCAGGACCGCTGCCTGGCAGCCATTGCTGCTGTTGAAAGTATCAATTGTCCTGATACTGTAATATGAGCTTTACAGTGTGATGCCATTTTACATATGGTTGGACTTTTTGGTGGGTGTTGCCAGATTCCTATTTCAGGAAATTGACTTGTTTAAATGCAGATTGTGAGAGGGAGGGAAAATGGCAAGATGTGAGATTTTTATTGAATAGTCTTCTACCTTAGCCCAGTCACCCAACTGCTTTTTTGAATCTTCTCTGATATGGATGATTAAATGTAGTTCTATTTTGCTGTGAAAAGTTTGGGAGTTTTCAGTTCTTTTGTCTTTTTCCATCTTCTTGCAACAGATTTGGAAAACAGATTCTTAACCTGTGCCATTTTCAGAGTCAGTCACCTAGTTTTGTTTTATTTGAGAAGCACCTGAGTTTGAAGCAATGCAAAATATGAGATCCTTCATGGTTTTGTATTACATCGTTGGAAATGGATGTAAATTCCAAAGATTCAGCAAATAAGAGTATAGCCATTAGCCACAAGGGTTTTTTTGGTTTGTTTTTTGTTTTTTACTTTGAGACAGCGTCTTGTTCTGTTGCCCAGGCTGAAGTGCAGTGGCATGATCATGGCTCATTGTGGCCTTAACCTCCTGGGCTCAAGCCATCCTCCTGCTTCAACCTCCTGCATTGCTGGGACTAAAGGCACGTGCCACTATGCCAGGCTAATTTTTCAATTTTTATTTTTTTAAATAGAGATGGGATCTCTTATGTTGCCCAGGCTGGTCTTGAATTCCTCCTGGTCTCAAGCGATCTTCCCACTTCGGCCTCCCAAAGTGCTGGGATATAGACGGGAGCCATTGTGCCCGACCTGGCAGTCGTCTACTAAGAGCTTTGGTAACTCATTAGCCTCGTGGCTCTGAGGTAGGTGGTAGTATTCCATTTTACAGATGAGAAAACTGGGACACGTTTGCCCGGTCAAATGGCTAGTGCGTTGTGAAATAGAAATGTAAACTCAGAATTGCTAGCTTCATAGCTTTTGCGGTGGACCACTGTGTTTTTCTGAATTATTTACGTTCTGTTAGTTATTTCTTCATTGCTCTAAGACCAAGCATAAGTTTGATCTTTTGTGTTCAAGACTGACTTACTTGAGGCGAAAATTTTTAGATACTGTGGAAGTACTTCCAAATATTGAGCATGAGAATGACCTGGTAAAAGTGCAGATTCAGTGGGCCCAGTTAAGCTCCTCATATTCAAATACAGGTGACTCAAAGACCACACTCAGAAAAACCGGTTTACACTGGGTGGGGAGAATTATATTAAGGTAGTTTTGAAACTTATTTTAGGGAACTAAGTAGACACATATTCATGCTATAGGATTTATATTTTGTTTTGATGTTTGATGTTTGTCGTGATTCCCTTCATTATCTTCTCTGGCTGATAAATCATGAAAACCCATCTTTCCAGTATAAGACCTGCTAAAGGAATGAACAGGATACTGATTGTTCTTCCTTCCATTTGTTTCTTCTGTACTATCTAGGGGTGCCCCTGTTAGGTGGAGAAGCAGGCTGGGCGCAGTGGCTCATGCCTGTAATCCCAGCACTTTGGGAGGCCAAGGCGGGTGGATCACCTGAGGTCAGGAGTTCGAGACCAGAGACCAGCCTGGCCAGCATGTTGAAACCCCGTCTCTACTAAAAAATACAAAAATTAGCTGGGCGTGGTGGTGCATGCCTGTAATCCCAGCTACTCAGGAGGCTGAGGTGGGAGAAACATTTGAACCTGGGAGGTGGAGGTTGCAGTGAGCCGAAATTGTGCCAGTGCACTGCAGCCTGTATGATACAGTGAGACTCCTCAAAAAAAAAACAAAAAAAAAGGAGAAGCAGCTTGTTGACTGCCGAACCCTCCTAGAGTATACTTCAGTCTTATCTCTGAGAGAATTCAACTAAGACTAAATCTTTTTTATTTATTGTTGGGAGGTTTGGGTATGGAATGGTGCCACCTTTCTGGTGAAACCCTATCTCTACTAAAAATACAAAAAAATTAGCCGGGTGTGGTGACGCGTGCCCGTAGTCGCAGCTACTCGGGAGGCTGAGGCAGATAATTGCTTGAACCCGGGAGGCAGAGGTTGCAGTGATCGAAGATCGCGCCACTGCACTCCAGCCTGGGCGACAGAGCGACTCTGTCTCAAAAAAAAAAAAAAAAAAGCCTTACTCTGATACCGCACTACTTGTCTAAAGGTGCAGATAGATACTAGTTGTCATTTGAAAGTCGAAGGAGCTATTCAGGTTATCTTAGGCATTCTTGTGGTCCTGGTTGTAGTCGTGTTCTGTCACGCGTTTCCTAGAGCAGTGTAGTTCCCAAACCGGCCCTTGTCCCAGACTTACTGCATCAGAATCCCTAGCGATGAGGCTAGGCATGTGTATATTTAAGTTCTTCAAAAGTTTTGCATCAGGTGGGGAGGGGGGTATGTCTCGCAGGGCTGAAAGAAATACCAAATAAAGATTGATTTTAAAATGATGGAAACCAAGACGCTAATGATGGTAATGTAGCTACCATTTTCTGAGTGCTTATTTGTCTTGGACACTATGCCGAGTATTTTATAAGCATCTTGGTTAAGTCTCATAGCTATCCTGTGAGGTAGGTGTTTTTTATCCCCAATTTCCAGATGAGAAAACAGGCTCAGTGAAATTGTCCTTTTGTCCAAGGCCATATAGTGAGTTAGTGATGGAGTTGGGTTTTGATTCCTGGTGTCTTGACTTCAGATCCAGTGTTCTTGGTCCACATTTTGGGGTGGGGGAAGGTATGTGTGATGTAATCCAGAGCTGTGGTTCTCAAGTTTTTAAAACTTTCCCTCAACCTACCATTGCATGATATAGGTCTGCAAAGGGGTCTAAAATTATATTTTAAATTTTATTGAGGCATAATTAAATAGAGTAAAATGTACAATTTTGGCAAATGTAGACACTCATGTAACAAGAGAACATACATTTTTATCAAGGGCTCCAGGTGTTGAGCATATGTGCAGCAGGTGTGCAGAAGGTGTGGAAGCCCTGTGATCAGAGTGCTCCACAGTAGTGTGGACAACAAACTTATCCTTTGAAGATGACTCGCAAGGCATGTTGTAGCATGCCAGGGAGACCTTTGGGGCTTGTTGATTTTGGACTCCTACAAATCTAACCTTCATAATACAGTTTTTGTTTGTAGCTTGACAACACTAGCCTAGAAAATGGATCATTTTTTCTTGGCTTTCCGAGGAGCGTTGCTGTTGGCAGTATGGAACTGGAGCCGGGGCCCTGTTAGGCTGCCTTTATTAGGCTCAGCATTTCAGCTTCAGGGAATTAGGACGGATTGACCCCTGGGAGCTGAGGAAAAATGTTAGATTGCTATAGCTTTGTGGCCCATTGGGAGAGGCAAGATGGGAGTTTTTTTTTTGTTTGTTTTTTGTTTTTTTTTTTTTTTTTTTAGAGGAGTTTCACTCTTGTTGCCCAGGCCAGAGTGCAGTGGTGCAATCTTGGCTCACTGCAACCTCTGCTTCCTGGGTTCAAGCAATTCTCCTGCCTCAGACTCGCAAGTAGCTGGGATTACAGGCATGTACCACCATGGCCAACTAATTTTTTGTGTTTAGTAGAGATGGGATTTCACCATGTTGGTCAGGCTGGTCTTGAGCTCCTGACCTCAGGTGATCCATTTGCCTCAGCCTCCCAAAGTGCTGGGATTACAGGTGTGAGCCACCGTGCCTGACCGAAAAGATGTTGTTTGTTTGTTTGTTTTTGAGACAGTTTCACTCTTGTTGCCCAGGCTGGAGTGCAATGGCGTGATCTCGGCTCACCACAACCTCCACCTCCCAGGTTCAAGTGATTCTCCTGCCTTAGCCTCCCGAATAGCTGGGATTACAGGCATGCGCTACCACGCCTGGCTAATTTTGTATTTTTAGTAGAGACAAGGTTTCTCCATGTTGGTCAGGCTGGTCTTGAGCTCTGGACCTCCGGTGATCTGCCCACCTCAGCCTCCCAAAGTGCTGGGATTACAGGTGTGAGCCACCGCACCTGGCCTGAAGGTGTTTTTTAACCTATTGATTTATCAACTTTTTATTTATTTATTTATTTATTGAGACGAAGTCTTACTCTGTCGCCCAGGCTGGAGTGCAGTGGCAGGATTTTGGCTCACTGCAACCTCTGTCTCCCAGGTTCAAGTGATTCTCCTGCCTCAGCCTCCTGAGTAGCTGGGACTACAGGTGTGTGCCACCGTGCCTGGCCAGTTTATCAACTTTAAGTGGAACCAAAGTAAATACAGCCTGTCTTCTTAGATATATAATAAATACTAAGCAATAAGCAGGGACTAAAAATCGTCCCCTTATGCAGCTGTGTAAAATGGTACAGTATATTACTTTAGGGGCCATGTGTAAGAATCATGCAGTTGGATAATATGGTTGTTTAGTGTTGGTGTCCCTGCCTTCTATCTGGGGAGACCATAGCAGGAAGAGATGTATGTTGTTAAAAATATTTTGCTGACTGTGTATGCTGGCTCATTTCTGTAATCCTAGCACTGTAGGAGGCTGAGGTGGGAAGATCACTTGAGACCACGAGTTCAAGACCAGCTTGGGCAACATAGCCAGACCTCGTCTCTCCAAAAATAAAAAGGGCATGCATGGTGGCTCACACCTGTAATCCCAGCTACTCAGGACGCTGAGGCAGGAGAATCACTCGAACCCAGGAGGTGGAAGTTGCAGTGAGCCGAGATTGCGCCACTGCACTCCAGCCTGGGAGACAGGGCGAGACTCCATCTCAAATAAAATAAATAAATAAATAAATAAATAATAATAAACAAATTAGCAGAATGTCGTGGCACATGGTCGTAGTCCCAGCTACTTGGGAGGCTGAGACAGGAGGATTGCTTGAGCCCGGAGGATTGCTTGAGCCCGGAAGATTGAGGTTGCACTGAGCTATGATCATGCCACTGCACTCGAGCCTGGGCGACAGAGGGAGACCCTGTCTCCGTTTTTTTTTTTTTCTTTTTTTTTTTCTCAAAACATTTCAAAAAATAGGAGGAGGAAGATAGACTAGGCTATTGTAGAGCATCAGGCAATGAAAAGAATGGCTATTTTGATTATTTAAAAGAGCGGTGATGTTTTTTGGACTTAAAGTTTGTAGCCTTGTGAGCTTTTCTCAGGTTCATAATTTGGGGTATCTTCAGGCACTGTTCAGGTAAGACTGACTGGGATGTGAAAACTTTTCTAAATTGCGGCTTAAAGTTTGCTTTCTAAAAATGAAACCCATCTCAGTTTTTTAGTAGTTCGTTACATTTTGTGTGTTTATATTTCCTGAATGTAGAATTTGTTGTTGAATTTGCTGATTTTACGGTATGTGGTCTTTTATAAGTATCTAGTCCCTGAGTTTAAAACTATTTTGGGAATAAGAATAATTATTAAAGTACCTCTTTCAATGTTAGGCCAAGATATTGCTTTCCTAGAACAGCCTAGACATGGATTTGCGATGTCATTAACCATCTGTGGTCTGGTAAAAGTGTAGTTCATAATATTGGAAAATTGAGCACACTTTTAAAAGTAAACTGTGTGTTTCTTTTTTTTTTTTTGAGACGGAGTCTTGCTCTGTCGCCCAGGCTGGAGTGCAGTGGTGCGATCTTGGCTCACTGCAAGCTCCTTCTCCTGGGTTCATGCCCTTTCTCTTGGCTCAGCCTCCTGAGTAGCTGGGACTACAGGTGCCCGCCACCACGCCTGGCTAATTTTTTTTTTTTTTTTTTTTTTGTATTTTTAGTAGAGACGGGGTTTCACCATGTTAGCCAGGATGGTCTCTATCTCCTGACCTCGTGATCCGCCTGCCTTGGCCTCCCGAAGTGCTGGGATTACAAGCGTGAGCCACCATGCCCAGCCTACTGAACTATGTATTTCCCATTGGAAAGTGTGATGTTGTGAAATATATATATTGGTCTTTTGCCCATTTCCTGGCATACAACTCCTGAAATCCTTAGAAACTCCACAGTGATGTCCTTTTGTGTGCTAAGGAGTTAACTGATGGCTGGAAGCCTCTGGACTTAGTCATGGAAAGAACAAGACAGGATTAGAGGGTTGGGACTTTCACTCCTCTCCAGCCTCTGGGGAGGGGTGGGGGCTTGAAGGTTAAGTTGATCACCAGTGGACAGTGATTTAATCAATTATACCTACTAATGAAGCCTCCATTAAAAACCCAGGAGGACAGGGTTTGGAGAGCTTCTGGATGGCCAAACAAGAGGTTCCAGGAGGGTGCAGTGCCCGAGAGCACAGAAGTTCCGTGTCCCTCCCCTATACTGTGTACTATGCGTCTCTTCCTCTGAATCTTTTGAAATATCTTTATAATAAACCAGTAAATGTGTTTCTTAGGTTCTGTGATCCAGTCTAGCAAATTAATCCAAACCAAAGAGGGGTCATGCAAACTCCAACTTGAAGCCAGTTGATCAGAAGTTCTGGAGGCCCAGATTGGCAACTGGTGTCTGGCAGAGGTGTGGTGGAGGAGCAGTCTTGAGGGACTTAGCCCTCGACCTGTGGCATATGATGCTATCTCCAGGTACATAGTCGTTGGAATTGCATTGGAGGGCACCCAGCTGGTGAGTGCTGCAGAATTGGTTACTTGCTTTGTGTGTGGGCTCACAGAAGTCTTCTGTGTTGATCGTTGCTGTGGTGTGAGAGCAGAGGAAAAACTTTGTTTTTCCACACTCTTAAAGGATTTCAGTCGTTGAGACCTATTATGGGACCTTGTGCTTTGCATACGTTTTGAAATGTGGCCTAAGTCAAGTATAGGTTGTCTAGACTGAGTACCTTGGAGGTCTTAATATCAGGAAATATGTTAAGGGCTGTGAATAGACTGAAATATCTGAAAATTAATGGCCAGGACTCACTAACTAGAAGGCAGGGGCCTTCTCTTATCAGTGAGCTCTAGGCTGGATGTGTTAGCTCACGTCTGTAATCTCAGTACTTTGGGAGGCTGAGGCGGGTGGATCGCTTGAGCTTAGGAGTTTGAGACCAGTCCGGGCAACATGGTGAAACCTCGTCTCTACAAAAAATTAGCTGGTTGTGGTGGCCTGCACCTGTAGTCCAGCTACTTGGGAGGCTGAGGTGGGAGGATCACTTGAGCCAGGGAGGTTGAGGCTGCAGTGAGCCTGAACCTGGTGATTGTACCACTGTACTCTAGCCTGGATGACAGAGTGAGACTGTGTCTCTCAAAAAAACAAAAACGAAAACAAAACCTGGGTGCAGTGGCTCACGCCTATAATCCTAGCACTTTGGGAGGCCGAGGTGGGCGAATTAGTTGAGGTTACGAGTTCAAGACCAGCTTGGTCAACATGGTGAAACTGTCTCTACTAAAAATATGAAAACTAGCTGGGCATGGTGGTACGAGCCTGTAATCCCAGCTACTCGGGAGGCTGAGGCAGGAGAATCGCTTGAACAACTGGGAGGCGGAGGTTGCAGTGAGCTGAGGTCTGTCGCTGCACTCCATCTGAGCAACAGAGCGAGACTCCATCTCAAAAAAAAAAACCTCTTGGTTTTAATTGGTTATATTGGATTTTGTTTTTTGGAATCTGTTGAGATAATCATGATTTTTTTCCCTTCATCTTACTAATTGGAATTTCTAATGTAAAAGCCATTGCTGCATTACTGAGAAGAATCTCTTTTGGCTATGGCCTATTAATTTTACTGTACAACTAGATTCCATTTTTTATTTTATTATTTATTTATTTTGAGATGGAGTCTTTCTGTCACCCAGGCTAGAGTGCAGTGGCACGATCTTGGCTAACTGCAGTCTCTGCCTCCCGGGTTCAAGCAATTCTCCTGCCTCAGCCTCCTGATTATCTGGGATTACAGGCGCCCACCACCATGCCTGACTAATTTTTGTATTTTTAGTAGAGATGGGGTTTTACCATGTCGGCCAGACTGGTCTCGAACTCCTGACCTCAGGTCATCCACTCGCCTCGGCCTCCCAAAATGCTGGGATTATAGGCATGAGCTGCCTCGCCCTTAGGCTTTCTTGCTGAGTATATTTAATAAATATGTAAGGCTAGATGTTTCCGTTTAAGTACTACTTTGGGTATATCCTATTGGTTTCTATATATTGTATTCTCACTGTCATTCATTTAAAAATAAATTTTGTTTTGATTTCCTTTTTAATCCCAGAGTTAATAGTTTAAAAATTTCAAAGTAGATAGATTTATTTCTTTGTTTGTTGGATTAATTTCTAATTTTGAAGTTTTGCAGTAAGTGAATGTGACTTGTTCTTTGGAATTTGAAGTTCTTTAAGCTAGTGCAGTTAATTTTTGTGAGTGCTTTATGGGTTTTTAAAGGAATGTTTGCATGGTTTTGTTTGTTTTGGGAAACAGTCTTGCTGGTCTTGAGTGTTTTTTTTTGTTTGTTTGTTTTGGGAAACAGACTTGCTGTTGTCTAGGCTGGAGTGCAGTGGTGCGACCTCGGCTCACTGCACCCTCTGCCTCCCGGGTTCAAGTGATTCTCCTGCCTTAGCCTCCCGAGTAGCTGGAATTACAGGTGCCCACCACTGCACCTGGCTAATTTTTTATATTTTTAGTAGAGACGGGGTTTCACCATCTTGGCCAGGCTGGTCTCAAACTCCTGACCCCGTGATCCACCTGCCTCGGCCTCCCAAAGTGCTGGGATTACAGGCGTGAGCCACCGTGCCCAGCCGGGTTTTTTTTTTTTTGAGATGGAGTCTCGCTCTGTCATCCAGGCTGGAGTGCAGTGATGTAGTGTAGGCTCACTGCAACCTCCACCTCCTGGGTTCAAGTGATTCTGCTACCTCAGGCTCCCAAGTAGCTGGGATTACAGGCATGTGCCACCATGCCCGGCTAATTTTTTGTATTTATTGGAGACGGGGCTTCACCATGTTAGTCAGGCTGGTCTCGAACTCCTAACCTCTGGTGGTCCACCCATCTTGGCCTCCCAGAGTGCTGGGATTACAGATGTGAGCCATTACATCCGGCTGTTTTTTTTTTTTTTCCCCAGAGTTCTATTTGTGTTTACTAGATCCACCTTATTAGCCATGATATTAAAATTCTCTTTCTACCATAATTTTGTAGGTGTGTGTGCAATCTACAAATTCCTGAGGTCTGTGTCATTCTCATACTGACTTGTAGATGTGTCAGTTTCTCTGTTAGTGTTTTCGAAGTATGTGTTATGTGCATAAGGAACATGGCTATTACATTCATCAGTTGTACTTTTTTTTTTTTTTTTTTTTTTGAGATGGAGTCTCGCTCTGTTGCCCAGGCTGGAATGCAGTGCTGCGATCTTGGCTCACTGCAAGCTCCGCCTCCCGGCTTCACACCATTCTCCTGCCTCAGCCTCCCAAGTAGCTGGGACCACAGGCACCTGCCACCATGCCCGGCTAATGTTTTGTATTTTTAGTAGAGACGGGGTTTCACCATTCACAGGATGGTCTCGATCTCCTGACCTCGTGATCCGCCTGCCTCGGCCTCCCAATGTGCTGGGATTACAGGCGTGAGCCACTGTGCCTGGCCCATCAGTTGTACTTTTTATGCACATGAGAGAGTTTTTTTTTTGTCCCTTCTTAATGCTTTTTTGTTTGTGTTGTTTGGTCTGCTAGTATTGTATCTGCTTGCTGTTAACATTTGCTTGATACAGTGGAGTAGCATTCTCCAGGCATTTATTTTAGTCATTTAAATTCAAGTGTATAAATTCAGCAAGTGAGTTAAGTGAATGGTGCCAGCGATTCTACCCAGTGTTTCCGTCAGTAACTATATGATTATGAGTGAGTATAGGGATGAGAATGGTGACTCTCCTTTCCCCTGTAGGGAAAGGAAGGGGCGTGATTGTCTGGAGGGGCACCTCTTGTAATGTGAGCATAGCTCTTTGCCAAATGAAACACTGGTCTTGAAACAAGGTATGACCTTTACTGTACTATGGCTCTTAAATGTAAATCAGCTGCTCTATCTAGTATTCATCTCTAGTGAGGTGCTTAAGAGTGCTTAACATTTTTATAATGTGTAATACTTTTGACTAAATGCCATTTTCATCTTTCAAAGCATTCAACTCCTCCTCATGGTGTGACTCCATTGTGGGTGATTTACCATTTTTCCTTCAGTTTACTTGTATAATCTTGTTTGAGGTATCTTTTTACATCAACATATACTTGAATTTCTCCTTTTCTCTCCTAATTCCTGGTTAAGCTCACAGAATTTCCTCTTCAGTCTAGAAGAGAAATTTGACCTATTTGTGATTACTGATAAGTGCAGTCATTCCCATCATTTATTTATTTATTAAATTATTTTTAAGTTTTTTTTGAGATGAAGTCTTGCTCTGTCGCCTAGGCTGGAATGCAGTGGTGCGATCTTGGCTCACTGCAACCTCTGCCTCCTGGGTTCAAGCGATTCTCCTGTCTCAGCCTACCGAGTAGCTGGGGTTACAGGTGTGCACCACCACACCTGGCTAATTTTTCTATTTTTAGTAGAGATGGGGGTTTCACGATGTTGGCCAGGCTGGTCTCGAACTCATGACCTCAAGTGATCCACCTGCCTTGGCCTCCCAGAGTGCTGGGATTACAGGCTTTATTATTTATTTATTTATTTATTTAAGAGGTAGGATCTTGCTCTGCTGCCAGGCTGGAGTACAGTGGCTGTATCACAGCTCACTAGCCTCAAACTCTTGGGCTCAAGCGATCTTCCTGCCTCAGCCCCTGGAGTAGCTGGGACTACAGGTGCACGTGATCATACCTAAATTTTTTTTTAGAGATGTGGTCTTGCTGTGTTGTCCAGGCTGGTCTCCCAACTCCTGGCCTCAAGTGATCCACCCACCTTGGCCTCTCAAAGTGTTGGAATTACAGGCATGAGCCACCACACCTGGCTGTTTTGTATTTACTGTACTTTTCCCCATTTCTTGTCAATCAGCTTTTTTGAACTGATTGCTTTATTTTTTTTCTAATGTGAAAGTCATTTTTTTTTTCTCCTCTGGAGTTACCTCTAAATTTTGACACATTTAAACTATCACTTCTATATTCTTGTGTAGAATTAATCAGAATCTATCTTTTCTTCCCTTTTCCAACAAGACAGAACTGCTGCTTGCTTTCATTTCCTTCTCCCTTCTCTTCCCTCTTCAACTTCCTATGTCGAAATCATGTAAGTATTTTAGTTTCAGATTGCTTATTTTTGTAAAAGTCAGTACTTTTGTTTATTTCTTAAAGCTCTTGGATTAAAAAAAAGTTTCTTAAAGCTCTTGGATGTTTTAAAATTATGGCATTCATCTACCAATTATGTTAGAGAAGGTCTTTGAAAAGTAAAGTTGATCCCTTACATATGTGAAAATTGTTTTTGCACTCCCGCTTGAAAGCTTATTTGGTTGGCTGGATATAAGTTTCAAAATCATTTTCCTTATAACTTTGAAGCCAGTGCTCCGTTGTCTTCTGGCATCTGTGCTGCTGATGAAAAGTCTGATACTGACTTTTATGTGATTTATGTATCTTTATAGGAATTCAGTTTTTTCCTTATGATATCTTGAAATTTCAATAGGATGTGTCTAAGTTGTCTTCCCCTTCTCTGCTGACCGATAAACACTGTTCAGCCCTTAGAGTAACCTGATGATTGGTGTCTTCCCTTTCCCCAAGGAAATTTCTGGAACTAACATAAGATGTTGGTCCTTCTGGTTCTATATTCTCTCCCTCTCTCTTTTTTTTTTTTTTTTAGTTAGAGACAGAGTCTCAGTCTGTTACCCAGGCTGGAGTGCGGTGGCATGGTCATAGCTTGCTACGACCTTGACCTCCTGGGCTCAAGCTATCCTCTCACTTCAGCCTCTCAAGTAGCTGTGACTACAGGTGTGCGCCTGGCTAATTTTTTATTTATTTTTTATTTTTGAGACGGAATCTCACTCTGTGGCCAGACTGTAGTACAGTGGGACAATCTTGGCTCACTGCGACTTCCACCTCCCAGGTTCAAGCGATTTCCAGCCAATTTTTGTATTTTTAGTAGAGGTGGGGTTTCATCATGTTGGCCTGGCTGGTCTCGAACTCCTGACCTCAAGCGATCCACCCACCTCGGCCTCCTAAAGTGCTAGGATTACAAGCATGAGCCACCGCACCTGGCCTAGTTTTTTTTTTTTCTTTTAAAGTAGAGATGGGGTCTGGCTGTGTTGTCCTGGCTGATCTTGGACTCCTGGCTTCAAGTGATCCTCCCATCTCGGCCTCCCAAAATGCTAGGATTACAGGTGTGAGTCACTGCACCCAGCCAGGTTCCATTTTCTCTATATTGACTATATTGACCTTTCTTTCATACTTGAAAAGCATTTGGGGATAATCTTTTAATTTTGTTTTCTATTTGTTTTTTCTGTGCCCATTTTGCTGTTAAATATATCTGTCAAGTTTTATTTTAGCAATTGTTTTTTCTCTTTTATAACAGCGTCTTTAATGTTGTAATTTACATACAATAAACTGCATCCATTTAAAATATACAGTTCCATGAGTTTCGACAGATGTGTATAGACACACACACACACACACACACACACACACACACACACACACACACCCCTTTTACCCCCAAACAAGAGTTGGGTTACCAGAGTTTTTCCCTCCTCCTGTGCAGTCCAACCCCAGCTCTCAAGCCCATGATTTGCTTGCTTTCAGATGTAAAAATGATTAGCTTGCCTTTTTTTTTTTTTTCCCCCTTTTTGAGACGGAGTCTCCCTCTGTCGCCCAGGCTGGAGTACAGTGGTGCAATCTTGGCTCATTGAAATTTACTCCTCCTCCTGGGTTCAAGTGATTCTCCTGCTTCAGCCTCCCGAGTAGCTGGGATTACAGGCATGCACTGCCACACCGGGCTAATTTTTGTATTTTTAGTAGAAACGAGGTTTTGCCATGTTGGCTAGTCTGGTCTTGAATTCCTGACCTCAGGTGATCCGCCCGCCTTAGCCTCCCAAAGTGCTGGAATTACAGGCATGAGCCACGACGCCCGGCTTTTTTTTTTCTTCTTTTCCTTTTTTTTTTTTTTTTTGAGACTGAGTTTTGCTCTTGTTGCCCAGGCTGGAGTGCAATGGCATGATCTCGGCTAACTGTAACCTCTGCCTCCTGGTTCAAGTGATTCTCCTGCCTCAGCCTCCCAAGTAGCTGGGATTTCAGCGCGTTCCACCACGCCCAGCTAATTTTTTTTTTTTTTGAGATGGAGTCTCACTCCGTTGCCCAGGCTGGAGTGCAGTGGTGTGATCTCGGCTCACTGCAGCCTCCATCTCCTGGGATCAAGCGATTCTGCTGCCTCAGCTTTCTTAGTAGCTGGGATTAGAGGCATGTGCCACCACGCCCGGCTAATTTTTTTTATTTTTAGTAGAGACGTGGTTTCACCATATTGGTCAGGCTGATCTCGAACTCCTGACCTTGTGATCCGGCCGCTTCAGCCTCCCAAAGTGTTGGGATTACAGGCGTGAGCCACTGCGCCCAGCCTAATATTTTGTATTTTTAGTACATATGTTTAGTACATACGTACATACTTTAGTACAATATGATTTCACCATATTGGTCAGGCTGCTCTTGAACTCCTGACCTCAGGTGATCTGCCTGCCTTGGCCTCCCAAAGTGCTGGGATTACATTCTTGAGCCACTGTGCCCGGCCAGTTTGCATTTTCAAAAGTTTCATATAAATGGAATAATATAGTATGTAGCCTTTTGTGCAAGGTTTCTTTTACTCACCCTATTTTTGAGATTCATGAATATTAAATATGTAGTAGTTTGTCCCTTTTTTTTGGTTTTCAGAGCATTCTTTCCCACAATTAGGAAATTAACATGGACAAACTGTATTTAAATTTTGCCAATTTTGGCTGGGCATGATGACTCAGGCCTGTAATCCCAGCACTTTGGGAGGCCAAAGTGGGAGGATTGCTGGAGGCCAGGAGTTGGAGACCAGCCTGGACAACACAGTGAGACCTTGTCTCTCCAAAATAGCTGGCATGGTTGTGTTCCTGTAGTCGTAGTTACTTGGGATGATGAGGCAGGAGGATTGCTTGAGCCCAGGAGTTCAAGGTTACAGTCAGTTGTGATTGAGTTGTGATTGCACTCCAGCCTGGGAAACAGAGCAACACGCTGTCTCTAAAAATAAAAATAAAAGGTGAAAAATAAATAGAAACAGTTTTGCATGGATTCTTTTGTACGTTGTTTATTTAGTTGTATATAATTTTATCGTGTTAATTTTTGCAGCCACACACATCTGGCAATCGTTTTTTAATTTTTGATTTTTCTCTATGGTAGCTTTTTTTATGGATGAGTTATGATTTTACCTCTGAGAATATTTTTGATTCTGTTTATTCCTGCAACTCTTTCTTCAGATATTTAGTTTCTCATTTTTGTAGTGTTTATTTCCCTTGTAGTTTTTCTAGTTTGTAAAAGTGATAATCTCTGGTTTGAGAATTCCTGTTCTTCTGCCAGTGGATTCAGTGTCTGTTTACCAGTTGGTCAGGATTGATTTTAGGGGAGGTATGAGATACGTGGCAAAATATGGGGTAAAATGTCTCCTTATTTCTTCTGGGTAATAGCAGCCACCTGAGTGCCATCCTGATTCTGGGGCTCCAGTGCCTGTTTCCAGTGAAGACTTTGCTTCTGTCAGTGTTGGGGATAGAACATGGTTATTGGTAGAGGGAGTGGCCTGTCCACTTGTGCCAAACACATTTCCCCACCATCGCTTGTGACTGCACCACTGCACCAGACCTGCTTTTGTTTCCCCATGGTAGCCGCCCTGAACCTACGGCTTGGATAGAATACCCCTACGTTCTCTCTCTCACCTTCATAGCTGATCCCAGTTTTAATAGCATTCCTCTTTTGAGGCTTATGCATGGTTATTGCCTCTGTAAACCTAGTTCTGCTGCTGCTATCTCTTTTTTTTTTTTTTTTTTGAGACGGAGTCTCGCTCTGTCACCTAGGCTGGAGTGCAGTGGCATGATCTCCGCTCACTGCTCCGCCTCCCGGGTTCATGCCATTCTCCTGCCTCAGCCTGCTGAGTAGCTGGGACTACAGGCGCCCGCCACCACGCCCGGCTAATTTTTTTGTATTTTTAGTAGAGATGGGGTTTCACCTTGTTAGCCAGGATGGTCTCGATCTCCTGACCTCATGATCCTCCCGCCTCGGCCTCCCAAAGTGCTGGGATTACAGGCGTGAGCCACCACACCCGGCCTGCTATCTCTTCTTGTTTCCCAGAATTATTTTAGAAAATAATATATCAAATATATCAATAAACCCACACCCTTTTTTTTTTTTTTTTGAGGTGGAGTTTTGCTCTGTCACCCAGGCTGTAGTGCAGTAGTGCTGTCTTGGCTCACTGAAACCTCCACCTCCCGGGTTCAAGCAATTCTCCTGCCTCAGCCTCCTGAGTAGCTATGATTACAGGTGCCCGCCACCACGCCCGGCTAATTTTGTATTTTTAGTAGAGATGGGGGTTTCACCATGTTGGCCAGGCTGGTCTTGAACTCCTGACCTCAGGTGATCTGCCCTCCTCATCCTCCCAAAGTGCTGGGATTACAGGTGTGAGCCACCGTGCCCGGCCTAAACCCACATCTTTAGTAATTTCTACGATTTAGATTGGGAGGGGAAGCATGTACAGATGCTTTTTGACTTACGATGTTTATGCTACATTCCATAAACCCATCAGAAGTTCAAAATACTGTAAATCAGGCTGGGCGCAGTGGTTCACACTTGTAATCCCAGCACTTTGGGAGGCTGACCTGGGTGGACTGCTTGAGCCCAGGAGTTCAAGACCAGCCTGGCAACATGGGGAAACCCTGTTTCTACAAAAAATACAAAAATTAGGTGGGTGTGGTGGCATGCACCTTTAGTCCCAGCTGCTCAGGAGGCTGAGATAGGAGGATTACTTGAGCCCAGGAGGCAGAGGTTGCAGTGAGCTGAGATTGTGGCGTTGCATTCTAGCCTGGGTGACAGTGAGACCTTACCTCAAAAAAGAGAAAAAGAAAATACTGTAAGTCAAAATGCATTTAATATACCCAGCCTATTGAACATCATAGCTTAGCCAAACCTACCTTAAATGTGCTTAGAACCCTTATATTAGCCTACAGTTGGGCAAAATCTTCTAGCATAAAGCTAGATGATTTAATAATGAATAATATAAAAGATAATTATTTTACAATAAAATGTCGAATATCTTGTAATTTATTGAATACTGTACTAAAAATAAAAAAAACAATAAATACTTGAAGTAGAGTTTCTACTGAATGCTTATTGCACCATTGTAAATTTGAAAAATCATTACTTTGAGCCCTCATTAAATTGGGACCTTCCATATGTCTGTGCAGTCCACTTTGATCCAATCTCTTCAGGCCTTTTTTTTCTTTGAGACGGAGTGTCACTCTGTCGCCAGGCTAGAGTGCAGTGGTGCGATCTTGGCTCACTGCAGCTTCTGCCTCATGGGTTCAAGCGATTCTCCTGCCTCAGCCTCCGGAGTAGCTGGGACTACAAGCGCACGCCACCACAGCCAGCTGATTTCTGTATTTTTAGTAGAGATAGTTTCACCATGTTGGCCAGGATGATCTTGGTCTCTTGACCTTGTGATTCACCTGCCTTAGCCTCCCCAAGTGTTGGGATTACAGGCGTGAGCCACCGTGCCCAGCCCTGCCTTTTTTTTTTTTTTTTTTTTTTGAGACAGAGCCTCACTCTGTCGCCCAGGCTGGAGTGCAGTGGTGTGATCTCAGCTCACTGCAGTCTCCACCTCCCAGGTTGAAGCAGTTCTGGTTTAGATTTCCTGAGTAGCTGGTACTACAGGTGCACGTCACCATGCCTGGCTAATTTTTGTTTTAGTAGAGATGGGGTTTTACCATATTGGTCAGGCTGGTCTCAAACTTCTGACCTCAGGTGATCCACCCACCTTGGCCTCCCAAAGTGTTGAAATTACAGGTGTGAGCCACTGCGCTTGGCCTAAAGGACATTTTGGGAACCGGTGTTAATGTCTATTGAAACCTTTTATTTTTGGAATATCAGATTTTGAAAGATAAATTGACCATTGGAGGTTATATGTTACATAGGTTTGGGAATTTCCTGTTTCTAGTTTGCTGCTAAACCAGAACTCTGAAGTCTCAATGTTTTTTTTTAAGCCGATAGGAAAGAGAGATTTTCATTCTGAATCTTTGTTTTTCACAGTTGAGGCTTACGAGTAGTCATCTTGTTATTTTTAAAACACTTCATAGTGCGGTTTGCGCTTGTCTGACAGAATGGTTGGGTTGGCTCAATACTTTGATATTTTTCTTTTTCGTCTTTGCCGTAGTATTTTTTTTTTAAGTTATGCATCTAAATCAAGACAGAATCACATTTCTTTGCCCCAAAACCCTTTTGCCTAGAATTATGTTCTTTGGAAACCCTAGCGTTTGAAATAAGTTGCTACTGTGGTAAGGGTAAATTTAATTTTCAGAAAAAAGCTGTTCTGACTTATTTTTCTTCCCCATTTAGTTTTTCCATGGTTTGGACTGGATATCGGTGGAACTCTGGTCAAGCTGGTATATTTTGAACCCAAAGACATCACTGCTGAAGAAGAAGAGGAAGAAGTGGAAAGTCTTAAAAGCATTCGGAAGTACCTGACCTCCAATGTGGCTTATGGGTCTACAGGCATTCGGGACGTGCACCTCGAGCTGAAGGACCTGACTCTGTGTGGACGCAAAGGCAATCTGCACTTTATACGCTTTCCCACTCATGACATGCCTGCTTTTATTCAAATGGGCAGAGATAAAAACTTCTCGAGTCTCCACACTGTCTTTTGTGCCACTGGAGGTGGAGCGTACAAATTTGAGCAGGATTTTCTCACAGTATGCATTTTTTAGCTTATATACAATTTATGGTAATTTGATTGTTAAAAATAATGCCAGTAGCAAGTGGTGAAATAATTTCCATCTCTAATGGAACTTGAATTTTCTTGAGTCAAATGAAGATTAAAGGTACGCTAGTGATAGGAGTTGGCCATCTAGAGGTGGTTGTCTAGTTCAGATGTATGGACGACAATCAGAACCACTAAAAGGGTAGCATTTTATTGCTCCTTTAGTATGAAAAATTAGGGCATCTGCTATACGTTGAGGAAGAAACTACCTAAAAGGAACATCATTAGATCATGAACAATGAGATTGAAATATAATTAAAATCATTTCATGTCATAAAATTGTTTTCAGTCTTGTCTACCACATAATTTCTCTTGTCTCCCTCAGTTGTTTGCTGGCATGTTCACTAACTGAAAAAAATAAGGAACTCTGGTCAAAAGTGGTGTTTTCAGGCTCAGGGCTGGTCTGAGATGGGTGACTGCAGAGCCCTCCTCTCCCAGAATGCTTTCTGATGTGTTCTGTGCTGCACACTTAACTGGAGTCTCGCCACCATGTCTGGCCCCTGGGGAATGCTGCCAGGCGCTCTATCTTGCTTTCATTGAGTGAACACTGGAGAACATTGTGAGCAAGACCTTGAGGCTAGGTCCTTTCAGGGTGGATGGTGGGGGTAGGCCGGAGAACTGACAAATGAATAAGCCAAGATCCTGACCGTCAGGGTGCAATACAGATTGAAAATGTCTTCAGTGACTGACTGTTTTTCTGTTGCTAAATGAGAGAATATTAGTCTGAAAGAGATTCTGCCTTTTTGTTTTGTTTTGTTTTCTTGAGATGGAGTTTTGTTCTTGTTCCCAGGCTGGAATGCAATGGCTCAACACAACCTCCACCTCTCGGGTTCAAGCGATTCTCCTGCTTCAGCCTCCCAAGTAGCTGGGATTACAGGCATGTGCCACCACGCCCGGCTAATTTTGTATTTTTAGTAGAGACAGGGTTTCTCCATGTTGGTCAGGCTGGTCTCGAACTCCTGATCTCAGGTGATCTGCCTGCTTCAGCCTCCCAAAGTGCTGGGATTACAGGGGTGAGTCACCTTGCCCGGCCCAGATTCTGCCTGTTATTCTGCATGTCTTTTAGTAGAGATGGGGTTTCACCATGTTGTCCAGGCTGGTCTGGAACACCTGACCTCAAGTGATCTGCCTGCCTCGGCCTCCCAAAGTGTTGGAATTACAGGTGTGAGCCACCGTTCCTGGCCTCAACTTTTTGACTAACATGCCTTGGAGTTCTTCCCACTTCAGAACATAAAGATCCTCTTCATTTTTGTTTTGTTTTGAGACGGAGTCTCGCCCTGTCACCTAGGTTGGAGTGCAGTGGTGCCATCTCAGCTCACTGCAACCTCTGCCTCCTGGGTTCAAGAGATTCTCCTGCCTCAGCCTCCCGAGTAGCTGGGTTTACAGGCGTGCACCACCATACCCAGCTAATTTTTTTTTTTATCTTTAGTAGAGACTGGGTTTCACCATGTTGGCCAGGCTGATCTTGAACTCCTGACCTTGTGATCCACCTGTCTCAGCCTCCCAAAGTGCTGGGATTATAGGCGTGAGCCACCGTGCCCGGCCGATCCTCTTCATTTTTAGTTGCTATACAGTGCTCCATAATACGAATAATAATTTAGTCATTCCTTTATTATTTAAATGGAATTAATTGATTATGAAACAGTTCAAATTTTGACTGCTAAAATTCCCCTCCCTCCCAAGAGGCTGTAGCTAGTTTAGATAGTGAAAAAAATCTTACCTTCTAACTGGATACTTTCAGCCTTTTGGCTTCAGTTTGTTAAATAATGTGTGGCCTCTTTTGATACTGCTCCAAAGCCTTGAGATGGTCCTCTGTCACAGTCCTTGTGGCTCCCACCCTGTGTCACAAGGTGGTTTCTGATAGTGCTGTGGCCTGAGCTTGGTATCAGCCCCATTGTCCCTGTAAGCAGAGATCTGAATTTCTGTTTGAAGGTTGATAAATGCTGTGGTTTTTTTTTTTTGTTTTTTTTGTTTTTTTTTTGGTCACACTTATTCAGCTGCTGCAGTAGTTTCTATGTAGAGTGTATTTGGGTCTGTAGTAGCAGGAGTCTGTCTCAGCACTGTGTCCCTAGGTTTGCTCCTAAATCTGTTCTGTAAAGCATGCACAAATAATACACATCTGTGAGTGCACTTTCATGGTTGTTTCACGTAGTGGGGATGCCTTATTGAATGGAATTTTTGTTTCTGTTGGCTTATTAAAAAGTCTGAGTACATTCTTATTTCATTACAGATAGGTGATCTTCAGCTTTGCAAACTGGATGAACTAGATTGCTTGATCAAAGGAATTTTATACATTGACTCAGTCGGATTCAATGGACGGTCACAGTGCTATTACTTTGAAAACCCTGCTGATTCTGAAAAGTGTCAGAAGTTACCATTTGATTTGAAAAATCCGTATCCTCTGCTTCTGGTGAACATTGGCTCAGGGGTTAGCATCTTAGCAGTATATTCCAAAGATAATTACAAACGGGTCACAGGTACTAGGTAAGTTGTATATAAAACTCACTGTTTATTCTTAGTATCCTAACGGGCTGAGTTTTCAGGTATTACATGTAACTACACCTTCAAGAACCTGTTAGGTGAAAGTGTTTCTGGATTATGCAAACAAATGTTTCTCTTTGAAAATTCTGATTTTATGACCTAGTTTTCTTTAATCTCTACTGTTCAAGATTTATTATCCTAGGTGTTTCTTAAAAGATCACATCAGCAGACTCATTGTAGCCTTTGCCCTCAGATAGTTTATGGTGTGCATACACAAAGTAGCTAAAGTTATTAGGCAGCATCTGTAAGGAGAAGGCACGGGAAAGGACCTAGCTCTGAAACCTGTGTAAATTTCATGCTTCCACACACATGTGTGTGTAGAATAATGATGTATTCTATGTATGTGATTTAGAAGTTGATATGTACTGATCAGTA
Organism: Homo sapiens; assembly: GCF_000001405.40. Classification (NCBI taxonomy): domain Eukaryota; kingdom Metazoa; phylum Chordata; class Mammalia; order Primates; family Hominidae; genus Homo; species Homo sapiens. The sequence goes on from NC_000020.11 coordinate 3,911,263, forward strand.
GAAAAATTATTGAGGGAAGGTAGTATGAAAAGAGAGGATTAGCCGGGCGTGGTGGCTCATGCCTGTAATCCCAGCACTTTGGGAGGCTGGGGCGGGTGGATCATGAGGTCAGGAGTTCAAGACCAGCCTGGCCAACATGGTGAAACCCCATCTCTACTAAAAATACAAAAATTAGCCGGGCGCAGTGGCAGGCGCCTGTGAATCCCAGCTACTCGGGAGGCTGAGGTGGGAGAATTGCTTGAATTCAGAGGGTGGAGGTTGCAGTAAGCCGAGATTATGCCACTGCACTCCAGCCTGGGTGACAGAGTGAGACTCCGTCTCAAAAAAAAAAGAAAAGAGAGTATTAGGGCCAGGCACGGCAGCTTATGCCTGTAATCCCAGCACTTTGGGAGGCCGAGGCGGGTGGATCACCAGAGGTCGGGAGTTCGAGACCAGCCTGGCCAACATGGAGAAACCCCATCTCTACTAAAAATACAAAATTAGCCGGGCGTGGTGGCACATGCCTGTAATCCCATATACTTGGGAGGCTGAGGCAGAAAAATCACTTGAACCAGGAGGCAAAGGTTGCGGTGAGCCGAGATCGTGCCATTGTACTCTAGCCTGGGCAAAAAGAGCTAAACTCCATCTCAAAAAAAAAAAATGAGGATTAGATGGAAGAAGAGAATGTTTCGGCTTAAGGGTCAGAGGTCACTTCAGGAAAAACAGGCATCTAGGGATTGGGATAAACAATTTTTTTAAAAAAACAGTTGTGATTTAAATAGAGGAGTAATTTTTTTGTGACAAAACACGTTGCAGGAGGAGTATGTTTGGGGGTGTACTGATAAGCCAGGGTGACAAGGTGCTTGGATGAGAATGACTCAGGGAATGTACTTGGAGAAGGGAAAGGGAGGAGGTGTTAGCATGGCCCCAGGCGTGTCAGGCTAATTTGCACCTGAGGCTCTTCATACTTGGCAGACAGCCAGACTGCACTGGGGACATGGGCCCTGTGTTTTGTACTTTGCATGTTGGCTCACATGCATATGTACCTTAAAGGTGTATATCAGGCACCTTATCTTTTCACAGACTTGTTTCCTACCAGTGGCATTTGCATGATTGGGTTGGATATGTGAATATGGTTTTGGGGTTCATAAATGTTAACTTCTTGTTCTTATTTTTAAAAATGTTATAATACTGTGTTAATTGTTTTTAATCATAGTCTTGGAGGAGGAACTTTTTTTGGTCTCTGCTGTCTTCTTACTGGCTGTACCACTTTTGAAGAAGCTCTTGAAATGGCATCTCGTGGAGATAGCACCAAAGTGGATAAACTAGTACGAGATATTTATGGAGGGGACTATGAGAGGTTTGGACTGCCAGGCTGGGCTGTGGCTTCAAGGTAAGGGGGCATGTGTGTTCTAAGAAATACAGGCGGGCCGGGCGCGGTGGCTCATGCCTTTAATCCCAAAACTTTGAGAGGCCGAGATGGGCAGATCATGAGGTCAGGAGTTTGAGACCAGCCTGGCCAACATAGTGTAACCCTGTCTCTACTAAAAATACAAAAATTAGCTAGGCATGGTGGTGCGCGCCTGTAGACCCAGGTACTTGGGAGGCTGAGGCAGGAGAATCACTTGAACCCTGGAGGTGGAGGGTGCGGTGAGCTCCAGCCTAGGTAACGGAGTGAGACTCTGTCTCAAAAAAAAAAAAAAAAAAAAAAAAGACATAAAATAATAATATTGGGCATATTTTTTAAAAAAGCTCTATTGAGATATAATTTACGTACTATAAAGTCAGCTGTTTGAAGCGTACAATTTAGTGGTTTCTAGTATATTTACAGGATTGTGCAACCATCACTGTAATCCCAATTTTAGGACATTTTTATCATCCTAGAAAGAAACCTTGTGTTCATTAGCTACGACTCTCCATTCCCCCCACAGCCCCTGCCAAACAGTAATTTATTTTCAATGTAGGTTTGCCTCTTCTGAACATTTCATATAAGTGGTATCATACAGTATATGATCTTTTGTGATTACTTCTTCATATAGCATATGTTTTCAAACATTCACATTACAGTGTGAATCAGTACTTTATTCCTTTTTATTGCCAAATAATATTTCTTTTTTCTGAGACGGCGTTTTACTCTTTTTGCCCAGGCTGGAGTGCAATGGCGTGATCTCGGCTCACCACAACCCCCACCTCCCAGGTTCAAGCAATTCTCCTGCCTCAGCCTCCTGAGTAGCTGGGATTACAGGCATGCGCCACCAAGCCTGGCTAATTTTGTATTTTTTAGTAGGGAAAGGATTTCTCCATGTTGGCCGGGCAGGTCTCGAACTCAGGTGATCTGCCGCCTCAGCCTCCCAAAGTGCTAGGATTACAGGTGTGAGCCACCGCGCCCGGCTGCCACATAATATTTCATTACGTGGATAATACTACATTTTATCCATTTATTGGTTGATGAACATTTGGGTTGTTTCCATTTTTTGGTTATAATGTTGAACATTTATATGTAAGTCTTTGTATGTATGCACACACACACACACATATATATATATATATTTTTTTTTTTTTTTTGAGACGGAGTCTTGGTCTGTCGCCCAGGCTGGAGTGCAGTGGCGTGATCTCGGCTCACTGCAAGCTCTAGCTCCTGGGTTCATGCCATTCTTCTGCTTCAGCCTTCCAAGTAGCTGGGACTACAGGTGCCTGCCACCACGCCCGGCTATTTTTTTTGTATTTTTAGCAGAGATGGGGTTTCACTATGTTGGCCAGGATGGTCTCGATCTGCTGACCTCATGATCCGCCCGCCTTGGCCTCCCAAAGTGCTGGGATTACAGGCGTGAGCCACTGCGCCTGGCCTGCACATATATTTCTAATTCTATTGGGTATATACCTGAGAGTAGAATTGCTGAGTCATATGGTCACTTAATGTTTAATCTTTTGAGGAACTGCTACACTGTTTTCCAAAGTGGCAGTCCCATTTTACAATCTTAGCAGTTTATGAGCGTTTATATTTCTTGTCAACATTTGTTATTATCTGTCTTCTTGGTTTTAGTTGTCTTAATAGGAGTGAAGTGATATCTTGTAGCGTTTTTATTTTTTAAGAGGCAGGGTCTCGCCCTGTTGCCCACATGAGAGTGCAGTGTTGCGATCATAACTGGCTGCAGCCTGTGTCTCCTGGGCTCAGGTGTTTCTCCTGCCTCAGTCTCCTGAGTCACTAGGACTACAGCTGTGCACTGCCTTGCCTAATTTTTTTTTTGTAGAGATAGGGTCTTGCTATGTTGCCTAGGCTGTCCTGGCCTCAAGTGATCCTCCCACCTTGGCTTCCCAACATGTTGGGATTACAGGTGTGAGCCATCACTCCTGGCTGAACATTTTTTTTGTGTGTGTGGCAGGGTCTCTCTCTGTTGCCCAGGCTGGAGTGCAGTGACACCATCTTATCTCACTGAAACCTCTACCTCCTGGGTTTTAGTGATTCTTCTGCTTCACCTCGCAAGTAGCTGGGATTACAGGCACACCTGTAAATTATGCCAACATGCCTGGCTAATTTCTGTAATTTTAGTAGAGATGGGGTTTGGCCATGTTGGCCAGGCTGGTCTCGAGCTCCTGACCTCAAGTGATCCACCCACCTTGGCCTCCCAAAGTGCTGGGATTACAGGTGTGAGCCACTGTGCCCAGCCCGAACATCTTTTCATGTGTTTACTGGCCATCTGTCTGTAGTCTTTGGATAAATGTCTGCTGAAGTCTATTGCTAAGTTTTTAGTTGGATTGTCTTTTTATTATTGAGTTCTGGATACAAGTCCCTTATTAGATACATAATTCGCAAATGTTTTGTCCCATTTTGTTAGTTGTCTTTTCACTTCCTTGATGGTGTCCTTTGCAGCATGGAAATTTTAAATTTTGATGAAGTTAATCTTATCTATCTTCTGTCACTTGTGCTTTTGGTGTTATGTGTAAGAAATCTAAGATCATGAAGAATTGCCTAATTTAAGATCATGAAGAATTGTTTATTTTCTTTTAAGAGTTTTATAGTTTTAGCTCATATATATATATGTGTGTGTGTGTATTTTTTTCTTTTTTTCTTTTTTGAGATGGAGTCTTGCTCTGTCACCAGGCTGGAGTGCAGTGGTGCGATCTCGGCTCACTGCAACCTCCACCTCCCGGGTTCAAGCGATTCTCCTGCCTCAGCCTCCTGAGTAGCTGGGACTACAGTGCGTGCCGCCACACCCAGCTAATTTTTGTATTTTTAGTAGAGACAGGGTTTCACCATATTGTCCAGGATGGTCTCGATCTCTTGACCTCGTGATCCGCCCACCTTGGCCTCCCAAAGTGCTGGGATTACAGGCGTGAGCCACCACGCCCGCCAGTTTTAGCTCTTATATTTAGCTCTTATATTTGATCCATTTTGAGTAAGTTTTTGTGTATGGTGTGAGGTAGAGCTCCAAGTTCATTTCTTTTTGCGTGTGGATATCCAGTTGTCCTAGTACCATTTGTTGAAAAGATGATTCTTTCCCTGTTAAATTCTCTTGGCCCCTTTGTCAAAAATTAGTTGACCATAGATGTTTGGGTTTACTCCTGGACTCTTAAGTTATGTTCCATTGATATATATGTCTGTTTTTATACCAGTACCATACTGCCTTGATACTGTAGCGTTGTATTAAGTTCTGAAGTAAGAAAGTGTGAGTCATCCAACTTGTTCTTTTTTCGAGATTATTTTGGCTATTCTGGGTACCTTGAGAATATGAATTGTAGGGTTAACTTGGCAAGGTCTGTAAATAAGACAACTGGGATTTTAATAGAGATTACATTGAATCTTTTGGCCATCCTAATACAAAGTCTTCTGATCCAAAAAGATGGAATGTCTTCCCATTGATTTAGATCTTTGCTTTCTTTCAGCAGTGTTTTGTAGATTTTATTGTACAGGTGTTAATACTTTTGTTAGATATATCCGTAAGTGTTTTATTCTCTAATGCTATTATAAATGAAATCATTGTCTCCATTTTGAGATCGTTTAGAAGTACAATTGTTTTTCGTATATTGGGGCACATGGCTTTTACTAATAGAAAAATCATATGTATACATGCTTGTTTACTAAGTTTTAGGCACTTGGTCAATGCTGTTGATTTTCTGTTTGTAACATTTGCTCGTTGGTCATCACTTCCTTTTCTGATTGGAAAATTATTGTAGCAGTTCTGCTGAGCATGTACTTTGAAGTACTTTATCTTCTAGGGAAACCTGAAATTCTTAAGCAGCTCACTCTGGGACTCAGCTGTCTGTGCTTTACTCTGCTCTGATAGAGCAGTTTACCAGATGTGCATGTGGCCATCTGAGTGGAACAGCTGTGCAGTTGAGATGAATTGCTGTTAGAGGTGTTGTCCTGGAACTGTCTGGTTGCAGGAGCAATGGTGCCTTCCAGTGCATCTGATGAGATTCTAACTGAATATGTGAATATCTGGTATCCAAGCTAGATTTCAGTAGAAACCGCAGGGAAAGCTGTCTGCTCATTTAGAATGTTGGAGGGCTCTGTTTGAAGTTTGCATTTCTCTTTGAACAGATGCTCCATTGCAAAATAAAAGGTTTGAAGATTTCAACAATGTTGCCCTAAAAGCTAATTTTATTTCAATAAAGTAACATTCAAGTTCTGTTGGGCTTTGTTGCTGTTGGTTTAGCAATGGGATTTTTTTTCCCCCATCACAGCTTTGGAAACATGATGAGCAAGGAGAAGCGAGAGGCTGTCAGTAAAGAGGACCTGGCCAGAGCGACTTTGATCACCATCACCAACAACATTGGCTCAATAGCAAGAATGTGTGCCCTTAATGAAGTAAGGGGACATGGATTTCTTTAATTGCTCTAAGGAAAATACTGAACTTAAGTGGGCCCCATCACGTCTGTTTTCTCAGAACAGTGCCTAAATGTAGTCATTTGGGGTGGGGTTTGTTTTAGCACGAAGTTAAAACTCTTCAAATACAGATTAATCTTCTTTTTTTTTTTTTTAAACTGAAGATAAACATTGCTACTTGTCTAGAGGTAAAATGACATCTTTTGAGGAGAAAGTAGAGGAAGAGTGGAAGGTAGCCAGTGTTCCAGATATTGGGGACTGTTGGGGGTGATGATGGATAACGATGCTGAATGTAGACTCCACACTCACTGCTGAGCTCTAGAGGCCCTAGGGAGGAATCCAGAGGAAGTCACGGAAGCTGGGAGAAGACTGAGCAGGCCGAGGGGTGCCCTCCTTGGCTCCCCCACCTCAGCAGAGCTGCGTCTTTGTGCTTTCAGCTTCTTTACAGTGCTGCCTTGTAGCATTCAGGTCAAGCAGCATTGTACAGGGCTATGAAAGAACCAAGAATGGGCTGCCCTTGGGAAAAGAGGATCTAGGATCCAGTTGGTGCAGCTTATGGCTTGTCCCTGTGTGTATAGTTGTTAAATTATTCTTTTATTTTTATTTTTAAGAAGTTATTCTTTAGATAATAATAGGCATGTAGCTTAAAAGGAAACCTCAAAAGACACAAAGGATTTGTCTCATTTTAAATTAAAAAAATACTGTATCAGCATCAAGTAATTAAACATTTGTTGGAATATCATAACTTCTTTTTTCTTTATTGTATGTTCCCTTTCCTGTGCTTACGTATTTTCAGAAATTTTAGTTGGTGTGCATACCACAATTTGTATTTTATACTTAAATATACATTTCATGGTTGTATATTTATTTGATCAAGTTCTTTTATATCAAATAACAGAGCTTGGCATTTGGTTGCTTGCTCATAACTCGGCAGTAAGCATTTTTAAGCATGAAGTTATTCTTTGGTTGAATTTTATTCTTGATATGGGGCTTAGGAGTGAGATTTCTGGTCTACAGAAATGATCATGCTCATGAATTTTGACATTTATCGTCATGATGCTTTGCACAAGGGCTGCACCAATTTAGATCATCTTTAGCGGTGAATGAGTGGATTAATTTTACTACAACTACTGATGGTGGTGGTGGAATTTCAGTTGCTTTTTTTTGCGAGGTTAATAGGTCTAAAATTTTACTTTTGTTTGATGACTAGTGGTTTGAATTTTTCGCTGCCTGTTATATTGCTTGTATACTTTGCCTGTTTGTGTCACTGTCCTTTTGGATTGGAGTCATACTGTTTTTTTTTGTTTATTTTAACTTATCTGTATAAAACATTGTATTCAAAACTAGTTATTGTTGGTCAGATTTAATACAAATGTTTTTCCTAATCTGTTTTCTTCTCCTGTGACATTATCTAGCATGCTTTGCAGTGGGTCCAGAGTTGTCTGGGGATCAAGTTTAAGTAGCCCTGGACCAACTGGACTAAATTTGATCAGCAGTCAAATTGTTGCTAAGAGCTATGCACATGGTGCTGTATTTGGGGTAGCTTTTATGAGAAAATAGAAATTAAGATGAAAACTAATTGCCTTTTTTTGGTGTGCTCAGAACATTAACCAGGTGGTATTTGTTGGAAATTTCTTGAGAATTAATACGATCGCCATGCGGCTTTTGGCATATGCTTTGGATTATTGGTCCAAGGGGCAGTTGAAAGCACTTTTTTCGGAACACGAGGTAAGCTGACTTGTTCGTTGTGGTATATTATGTACACAGAGGGCTTGTGGGTCACACTGTCATGGAACTTGAGGTAGAGGGTGGAGGTGAAATGGGCTGCAGTGTTTCTTTTGTTTTTTGTTTTTTTGAGACGGAGTCTCGCTCTGTCACCTAGGTTGGAGTGCGTGGCACAGTCTTGGGGCTCACTGCAGCCTCCGCCTCCTGGGTTCAAGCAGTCCTCCCACCTCAGTCTCTTAAGTAGCTGGGATTACAAGTGTGCGCCCCCACACCCTGCTAATTTTTGTACTTTCAGTAGAAATGGGGTTTCACCATGTTGGCCAAGCTGGTCTGGTCTCAAACTCCTGACCTTAAGTGATCTGCCAGCCTCAGCCTCCCAAAGTTCCAGGATTACAGGTGTGAACCACTGTGCCTGAACTTTTTTGGTAGTTTAATTTCGTAACATTTGAAAGCTGTTTCTTCCCTGATACTAATGCAAGGTAAATTTTGGGTTAATTTAATTGTAAGCTTAAGGAATTTTAGAGAAAAACCCTTGAACATTCCCCTATATTTCTGATGCCATATTTTTGTCTGAACTATCCTCTATATTTTTTCTATTGCACTGACTGTGTCATTACTCTGGGTTCTGGTTTTTTCATTTTTTTCAGTGCCAGTTTTTATATATTGTTGTAATTCTTGTGCCAGTTATTTAAGATGCATGTTGTAAAAATGAATAGATGAGTAAACCTCTCAGACTAGAACCATACTATCATAAGAACTTAAGTACAATTGTAGACAGGCTGGAAATGATGAAATGGAAAAGAATCAAATTGCTCAACCTCATAGCCTGTCTTGGAAAGCACTCTTATTTTTCCTATTTGGGGAAAAAGAAGCAGAGGTATGGAAAGGCGTGTAGGGGTTCTTTCTTCCCTTCTTGGTTGTGGGGCAGTTGAACTATTCTTTCAACTGTTCTTGGATTTTAGATACTGTTATTATGAACATTTTTCAGAATTGTATTGCATATTTAGTTTAACAGTCTATATGAATTAAAGGAAATCAAAGTCCAGATAATAGCACAGATTTGAAGTGCTAGAGATTACTTTTTCCTTTAAAGTTACTTTAAGTTTTTCTTTTTAAATTGCTTTAGTTCATAGTTGAAGTCCAAAGTACACAAATCCCCATATCAAAAAGCTTAAAATTGAAGTCATCTAACTTAGTTTTAAAATTCTAACATTACTGTATTTGTAAACCAGCACCGAATTGCCATTAAGTTTCTTACAGTTCATGTTTCTGTATACATCTTTTTTTGTGATCTGACTTATTTTATTTTGCTTTATATTAGAATTTTTTAAACTCGAATGTTAGATCTTTTTCTGCTTTATTTCTGCCTCTTGTTTAACCTTTTCCTAGGTAGAACATGGAGATTAGTTTTTTAAGTTAACCTTAAAAAAAAAATAGGCTGGGTGCGGTGGCTCACGTCTGTAATCCCAGCACTTTGGGAGGCTGAGATGGGCAGATCACCTAAGGTCAGGAGACCAGCCTGGCCAACCATGGTCAATGTGGCAAAACCCTGTCTCTACTAAAAATACAAAAATTAGCTGGGCGCAATGGCGGGCGCCTATAATCCCCAGCTACTCGGGAGGCTGAGACAGGAGAATCTCTTGAATCTGGGAGGCGGAGGTTGCAGTGAGCTGAGATCGCACCACTGTACTACAGCCTGGGCAACAGAACGAGACTCTGTCTCAAAAACAAAAACAAACAACAACAACAAAACAAACAAAAACACCAAACAGGCCAGGTGCAGCGGCTCACGCCTGTAATCCCAGCACTTTGGGAGGCCGAGGTGGGCGGATCATGAGGTCAGGAGTTCAAGACCAGCCTGACCAACATGGAGAAGCCCTGTCTCTACAAAAAATACAAAAATTAGCTGGACGTGGTGGCACATACCTGTAATCCCAGCTACTTGGGAGGCTGAGGTGGGAAAATCTCTTGAACCCGGGAGGCAGAGGTTGCGGTGAGCCGAGATCGCACCACTGCACTCCAGCCTGGGCAACAAGAGCGAAACTCCATCTCAAAACAAAAAACAAAACACCAAACCGATATCATCATAATAGTTATAAGCCTTCGTGAAATTCTTGGTTGCATTTTGTCCTTATTGCTCGCTGACTTTGTTTTTCCCACTGCTTAGCTTTGCTGGTCCATTTGTCCCTGTGTTTTCCATTTGCATTCAGGCCTTTGACTCTTGTGTGCATCTCTGCCCTTGTGGAACTTTGATGATTATTTTATTTTATTTTTTTATTTAAGTTCTAGGATACATGTGCACAACGCGCAGGTTTGTTACATACGTATACATGTGCCATGTTGGTGTGCTGCACCCATTAACTCGTCATTTACATTAAGTATATCTCCTAATGCTATCCCTCCCCCCTCCCCCCACCCCATGGCAGGCCCTGGTGTGGGATGTTCCCCTTCCTGTGTCCAAGTGTTCTCATTGTTCAGTTCAGAACTTTGATTATTTTAGCCTCTCTGAGCCTTGAAATATTTTCTTGCCCTCACATTGAAGTCACTTTAACTTTTGTTGTGAAAGCTTCGTATAGATTCTCTCAAGCGTTTCCTCTTTGATCCTTTATTCTCATCTTAGCACGTTGTAGTTTATAACCACCTGTTTCTGTCTTGATAGTAGCATCCTAGTCTTCAGTGGACCCCCCCCATATATATATATAATGGTTAACTGTATCTTCTATATTTTTATTATAAAATAAAAGGTACAGAAAGCTGCCTAAAACAAACTGTATAGTGAACTATTAAGACAAACAGCCTTGCCTCTGTATTTCAGCTGTGCCTTGTCCTGTAGCTGCTGGCCGCCTCACATCACAGATTGGTGTGGCTGCCTTTATTTTATTTATACACACCAAAACCAAAGATGGTCAATATGCCTTTCTTTTTTTTGTTTTTTGAGATGGGGTCTTACTCTGTCAGCCAGGCTGGAGTGCAGTGGCGCAGTCTCGGCTCACTTTAACTTCTGCCTCCTGGGTTCAAGTGATTCTCTTGTCTAAGCCTCCTGAGTAGATGGGACTACAGGCACGTGCCACCGCACCTGGCTAATTTTTGTATTTTTAGTAGAGACACGGGGTTTGCCATATTGGCCAGGCTGGTCTTGAGCTCCAGACCTCAAGTGATCCACCTGCCTTGGCCTCCCGAAGTGCTGGGTTACCTGTGAGCCACTGCGCCCAGCCAATATGCCTTTCTTTTAAATTGCCAACTAGAGTGTGACAAGAAAGCCTTTGGCCTCTCGTTTGATCAGGTTTCTTGAAGAAGCTTTTCGTGAAAGATAGAGTGGTAGTTATTTATGTTTCAGAGACTTTTAAAAAATCCATACACAAGTCTTTCAGGATCTTCTCATTCCTTTTTTAGTTATTTCTTTTAAAAAGTAGTCTGATATCTTACCTTACAGGTTGGAGACCCTGATGGATTCTGCATCGTTTTAGGATTTGCCTCTGATTCTTGCTAGTGTTCTCTTTTCTGTCATTATGGGGTTTGCCCCGTTTTCTCTAATGTGCTATTCCTGTGTTTTGGTTTTGAGTTCTTGGTTGCATGTGACCTGACTGCTTCTGGAGACAGTACAGTGCTTGTCGTCTCTCAGCTGCTGCTTCTGTGTCTCAGGAGGGCTGAGGGCTGCCCTCCCTCGGGAGCCTCCGTGCTTCCTCAGGCTTTGCTCTTTGTTCTGTACCTCTCTTCACGTTACCTTTGGGTGGTGGTTTTCATTCCTGTGCCGCCTGCTTCTGGGCCAGTGATCCAGGTGTCTGGTGACCACCCGGGCACAGCTGCTTGGCTGCTGTGGGCACCTCAGCTTCCCATGTCCTGTAGGGAACTCACCCACCGGCCTTGCTCTCCACACCTCTTACTCCTGTGTCCCCTTTCTCGGGGATGCTGCCCCCTCCTGCTGTCCTGTCCTCTGTTAGGGGTGAATCTTGAATCCATCTTATCTCTTACTCTCCCTCCCTCTCCCAGCTCAGTCGGGCTCTCACCCTCTGTGACCCACCTCACAACTTCACCTGTTTCATTGCACTTTGCATCCGACCTCGCCTTCATTCCTTAGTTGTCTGGAAATGCTCCAGGCCTCTGCTGCTTCTCACCTCATTCCCCAGAAACAGTCAGGTTCTGTCTCTTACCAGAGGTAACTGAGCTGCTGCTGGCCTCATAGCTCCTGTCGCCCTCACTGCGGGTTTGGTTTTCCTCTTATCACAGTGGTCTGAAGTGCTTGGATAGTCTAGGACATCCAGCCCCCTCCCCAGACAGGGACTCCTTAGGGCGTCTCTGCTCCCAGGCTGGCCTTGGCCCTTCTGGGGTGCTCAGGAAATGGGTATGCTGTGTGTGGGCAGTGGTTGGCTTTAACACTAGTCATCATGTGTAAGGTGATTTGAATAAGTCTAAGGAAAATTGCACTTATTTTTGGTGTATTTTCTTTCAGGGTTATTTTGGAGCTGTTGGAGCACTCCTTGAGCTGTTGAAGATCCCGTGATCATTACCTGGGGAGGGGTTCCTGAAACCTTCCACAATGGGATCTGTGGACTTTCATTTTTTTAAGAGACTTACTCAATTTCATGACTGTACTACCTGAAACAAAGTGAGAAAGGACAGGTGTATTTTTCTAAGTCATCAAGATAAATCCTTAAGAATTCAGTCTAAATTAGCAACCAGGAAGGAAAAATATATTAAAAACAACAAAAAAGTGGCACATGTCCAGGCAGTGTGAGGATTTGCTGTATATAAGTTGCCTGCTTTGTATTTTTGAAATCTCTGCATCACTCATTGGAAGTGCTTCTGAAGAGAGCTGCTCTGTGTTCAGTTGACTGGTTTTGTGTCCTGTTTGAACTTGCTGAATGTAAGGCAGGCTACTATGCGTTATAATCTAATCACAATTTGTCAATATGGTCTTGGCAATCATCTGTGCATTACTCTGGTTTGCATTAAGCCTGTGTGTGAACTTACTGTAAAACATGTTTTATTTCAAGGTTCTGCAAAATTAATTGGGCAGGTTAATTGTGTACCTGAAACTTAACAAGCAGTTTTTGGAAGGGCAGTTCCACGTTACTTTACACTAAATCCTGGGAATGAATGTCTGGAGAGACAGGGCTTCTTTTCTTGGCAGAATTTCCTTGGGTAGTGGGCGGACTGTTCTGATGCAAGTGGGTACACTGGCAGAAGCAGCACAATCTGGAGGACTAACATGAGTCAGCAGGGCCACTAGAATTGACACCCCCTCAGGGGATCAGGGAGAATCTGGTTTTTCTTTCAGGCTAAGTAGAAAAGGAAGAACTGAAGTGTCTGTCAAAGAACTCATGGGGAGTGGGGGGTCCTTCAGGGCACTGTGGCACTTGGGAGGTGAGTCTCAGAAGACTGCCTGAGGAGAGTGCCAGGCTGCAGGTGCTCTTGGTAGGGGCTGAAGCTTTTCTTTCTGCTTTGCAGAATAATTTCAAAAGCCTTTCCCAAGGAGAGAATGCACCTTTTATATCTGAGGTCTTAAGTGGTGCCCATATTGCTGTTGAAGGCAAGGATGGGCCTGTACAAAGCAGCCTTGGACCAGGAGGGAAAACCCCAAGGCTCTGCAGCCTCCCTGCTCCCCTCCGTTTAAGGCTGTGGTCAGGGAGGGATGGGCAGGGTGCCAGCCGCATGGAGGCAGCAGAGACACCCGTGTTCCAGCTGGGGCAAGGGGAACTGATATGTGGGCTGTGGGCTGTTCCACTAGGCGTGGCCACCTCTGCACATGGGCCTTGGCACTTAGGAAATATGGGTGCTGCTGCATTGGGACCTTGTGTGGGTGCAGAGCAGGATGGCTGCTGCGTGGAGGGTAATTTTGTCCCCTGGAGAGTGATTGGTGACCCTCTTCCCTGCTGCTGCTGTTTGCAGGCTCCTGGCCTATACTACCTCTGACGCCCTGATCCTGAGTTCCTCTGCCCTCCTCTGCTGCCAGCAGCGCTGTTGGTGGCCTCACCCTCCTCCAGTACCCAGGCACCAAAGATGGCACCACCATCCTCCTGCTTGTACCACAGGGTGCTGCTCCCTGGGCCAACTCCTGTGAACTTGCTCACTTCCCATGGAGACCGAGGCCAGGGCCTGCCCCTCTGAGGCCCCTGTTTTGTGGTCCTGCTGCCTCTGCTGTGCTGCGTTCAGGAGGTTGTCCACTGCTCGACGTGGGTCACCATGCAGCCCTTGCTGTTCCCACAATTTAACAGAAAAGGAAACTGAACGGATGAGTAAGGCTGCCCAGGGTCACTCAGCTGGAAAAGAGTAGAGCTGGACTCAAACCCGGGACTGTCTGTCTCTGGTGCCTGAGTTGGGAAGACGCTGTTGATGTCCCCTTCTGCCTCGCTTTGAGCTTCCTCCTCCGTGGGCCCTCCCCCTACTCTAGAGAAACTAGTCCATTCCCTCATGTTCCACCTTGTGCTCAGTAAACCCTGTCACTCCACAGCAGGGTTTTTGAGACAGTCTCGCTGTGTCACCCAGGTGGAGTGCAGTGGGGCGATCTCAGCTCACTGCAACCTCTGCCTTCCAGGCTCAAGCAATTCTCCTGCCTTAGCCTCCTGCGTAGCTGAGACTACAGGCATGTGCCACCATGGCTGGCTAATTTTTATATTTTTAGTAGAGATGGGGTTTCACCATGATGGCCAGGCTGGTCTCGAACTCCAGACCCCAGGTGATCCGCCTGCCTTGGCCTCCCAAAGTGCTGGGAATACAGGTGTGAGCCCCTGCGCCCGGCTCACAGCAGGGTTCTTGATAGGCCACCAGTGAATCCCATGCCACCGAATCTGGCATTCATTTCACAGCCTCATCTCAGTTCTCACTCAGCAGAGCCCTCTTGCCTGTCCTGCCACCCAGGCTACTAATGTTCTGGTTCATTCTCTGCTGACAGTTAGCTGTGGCTGTCCTCAGCCTCAGTCCTGGGTCTCCCCAAGCAGTCATTAGCATCACCTTGACTGATTTCCAGGGAACACTTCAACCACCCCTTACCTCTGAGCTCCAGCCCCGAGACACTGCCTTCTCTCTGCATTTGTTGATCTCTGTGCAGCAGTGCCCACATCCTCATCCCAGCTTACTGCCGTCTCACCACCTTCAGGTTGTGAGGTGCCCATAAACTCTGCTGTTACCATTGCCACTTCCCTGTCTTAGCAGCTGTCCCTTTCAGTCTGCCCTCCACTAGTGGCCATGAAGGGGGCTGTGACCGTGGTCCAGGTGAGAAAGGAAGGCCTGAACTAAGATGGGAGGTGGGTGGCCAGAATGGAGAGGGGAGAAGTGGATGGCCAGAATGGAGAGATGCTTAGAGGGCTGTGTTGGGAAGTGGTGACTGGATACAGGGGAGGGAGGAGAGATACAAGAGGGCACCTGGGCTCATTTGTGGACTACGTGATTTTGAGACTCCAAATAAGCACTGGGTATTTGGGTTGGAGATACAGAGCTGAGAATGATATGCATGTAGGTGGGCAAAGCAAGGGGGATTTCATGAGTTCTAAGGTAGGGTGAGAAAAATAACCGAGAGTTGAGCAGTGACGGAGGAAGCTGCAAAGAAAACGACTGCTCAGGGAGAGGCTGGCCAGGGGCCTGTGGCTCAGGGGACTGAGAAGAGGAGCTCTCTAGGCATCTGAATTGAGGTTGCCCACAATTGGTTGCAAGATCGTGGCTGGCCTTGATGGAAGCTGGGAAGCCACTCGGTCCTAGTGAGGGGTGGTGAGGAGAGCAGCAACGGCCACACAGGAAGGCTTTGGACGTTTTTTCTCCTGACACTAGTTATTTCCAGGCCTGGGATATAGCTAGGGGCTTGGGGTGGGGGCAACTCTTTGCAGGGTGGTGTGGCCTGTGGAGGAAACAGGCTCAGTTCCACTACTTTGGCCAGGTGCAATGGCTCATGCCTGTAATCCCAGCACTTTGGAAGGCCAAGGCGGGTGGATCACCTGAGGTCAGGAGTTCAAGACCAGCCTGGACAACATGGTGAAACCCCGTCTCTACTGAAAATACAAAAATAATTAGCCGGGAATGGTGGTGCGTGCCTGTAATCCCAGGTACTCGAGAGGCTGAGGCAGACAGTTGCTTGAACCTGGGAGGCAGAGGTTGCTGCAGTGAGCCGAGATTGCTGCACTGCACTCCAGCCTGGGTGACAGCAAGACTGTCTCAAAAAAAAAAAAAAAAAAAAATCCGCTATTTCAGGTCACCCTGGTGCTGGCGTTCACGTGGAAGACTGCTTATCTGTATCCAGCTGTTTGCAGAGCTCAGGGAGGCCAGGGGGCTTCAGACTCCACTGTACTCTGCATTCCAGGATTCTCTGTTCTCTGGCTGTGGTGGCCTGACACACTCTTCACCACTGACCCCACCCCCGCTTGCACACTATGCCACAGGAAGGGCAGGGGCTTCCATCACAATCACTCAGTACTAGTTACCAGCTCTGATAGAATTACTCACCTTGAGTTTCCAAGTCTTGCTGAAGGTGCTTGCGTAAGTGGCACATGGATGTTCCCTCTGTTCAAAGGCATATGCACAACACTATTTTTCAAAATTTGCTTTTATTTACACGTTTGAGTCAATTACATGCATGTTTTATTTTTGAGGAGTGATTAGCAAAATGCATTAAAATTTTAAAATAGCAATTAAATATACAAAAATATAGCTTACAAAAAACTGCGAATGTTTAAAAATATTCTGCTGCAGAATTTTTAGTGTACAAAGACGTCTATGAAACCTGAGGTTCAGCATTTCATAAACCTTTTTTTGAGGGAGTTACACAATACCTAGTGAGGAAACCCGAGGGCCAAACTACAAGACGAAAAAGTGCCCCGTTCCTGGCAATGATGTCAGAAGACCAAGAGGCGATAGTTACCAGCAACACTCTAGGAAGACCAGCTGTCACCAGAAGGGAGTTCCTAACACTTGCCACACCTGCTCCCCCGACCGGGGGCCTGGGAGGGAAGGGCAGATGGAGAGGAACGGTGTGCAGTGGGCGTGAGATGCAGATCCACCAGGCTTGGGACTGGCAAAGGGAGCTGAGAAGAGAGTTCCCCCAAAGCACAAACAAGTCTGCTGACACTGGTGGGGCCCTTACAGTCACAGAAGTAAGGACTGGATGGTAAGCCAAAGGTGCTGATGCTTGGTCAAAAAGTGGAGTACATCTTTGCATCTTGTAACAATTTGGGCTCTACAGCTGAATTGGCAAAGTAAGGTTTACTACACAAGCCCCTCTTTTTCTTCTGATATCCCCACTCAAATGGAAGCACACTCCCCAGCACATGGGGATCCCTTATTAATCTTTACTAAAGAACCGTGAACCAGCATTTTCCAGTTATCAACTGGATATTTAGGCATGAATCTGGACATGTCCATCTGCTTAAGAAATCTGCTTAAGAAATCTGTAACAGCTACAGGAAAAGACACACCCAGGGCCAGAGATTCTACAAATGCCAGAAGAGTGGATGTGATAGAGAATTTTTTCTCAAGTTTTGGGTTAGGGCACCAGTTGCAATTTTAATCCAGGGGAGGATCTGGGCTGCTGCTGTAGGGGGCAAGTACACCAGGGAGGTGGGTGTGGACAGAGGCACTGGGCAGCTGCTGGGAAGCGAGGCACAAGTCTGTGCCCCTACTCCCAGGGCTGCCTGGAGGAAGCAGCTCTAACTTTCATCAGCGGGGACAAAAATGAACTTAAACTAAAAAAATTATTGGCCGGGCGCAGTGGCTCACGCCTGTAATCCCAGCACTTTGGGAGGTCAAGGCAGGTGCATCACGAGGTCAGGAGATCGAGACCATCCTGGCTAACACGGTGAAACTCCGTCTGTACTAAAAATACAAAAAATTAGCCGAGCGTGGTGGCGGGCACCTGTTGTCCCAGCTCCCGAGGCGGGAGAATGGCGTGAACCTGGGAGGCGGAGCTTGCAGTGGGCCAAGATCGTGCCACTGCATTCCAGCCTGGGTGACAGAGCGAGACTCCGTCTCAAAAAAAAAAAAAAAAAAAAAAAAAAAAAAAATTGTTGGGGTAATTTCTGTTGTCAAATGGAAAACAAGGCATAAAGGGAAAATTCTGTAGGAAGCATTTTCTTTTCTTGTGTGTTTTTTTGAGACGGAGTCTCGCTCTGTTGCCCAGGCTGGAGTGCAGTGGGGATCTTGGCTCACTGCAACTTCTGTCTCCCGGGTTCAATCAATTCTCCTGTCCCAGCCTCCTGAGTGGCTGGGATTACAGGCATGCGTCACCACACCCGGCAAATTTTTGTATTTTTAGTAGAGGGGGTTTCACCATATTGGTCAGGCTGGTCTTGAACTCTTGACCTAAGGTGATCCGCCTGCCTCGGCCTCCCAAAGTGCTGGGATGTTGGGATTACAGGCGTGAGCCATCGCGCCCGACCAGAAGCATTTTCTTTTCAAAGTGTGTGCACAGAGTGAGGAGGCCAGCCTGGGCAACATAGTGAGTTGAGACCTGTCTCTACAAAAAAATAATTACGAAAATTAGCCAGGTGTGCTGGTGTGCACCTGTAGACGCAGCTACAGACTGAGGCGGGAGGATCACTTGAGTCCAGGAAGTTGAGGCTGCAGTGAGCTACAATGGTGCCACTGCACTCCAGTCTGGGTAACAAGACCCTGTCTCAACAACAACGAAAAGTTGGGAGGGAAAGGGAGTAGCTCCATGAACTGACGCTGGACATTCAGGCATATCCACATGAGACTCACTGTGCACTTGCTCAGTAGCTAAGATGTCTGCCCCACAAAATAGAAGCCTTCAGTTGCTGCTGCTCAAACTCCTGCATCAAAGACACAAGAGCTTGCCTAAGTGACCACAACAGTTGCAGCCACACATCACCACTGGTCCTCACTTGGAACTGGCCAAGGTAGGGGAGGGGCCAGCAGCTGTCCAGGCACCTGCAGAGGCTGCTCAGAGCTGGGAGAGGCCTGTGCCACTGCTGTCAGCTACAGAGCCTGATCTTGAGCATCCTGTCGCAGATAGAAAGTCAATCAGAAAAATCTGGTTGTGCTCTTGGATTAGCTGGGCATTTGGGGTAAGGGAGGGACTGCAGATTCTGATTTGTACAGAAAACTAAAATTTCAGTATGTTGCAATAAAATGAAAATATGTCTTACTCAACAGGAGTGTGATTGCAAAAACATCCCCCAATTCTGGGTTCACATTTTGTATTCTGATTTCTGGGATGGCTCTTCCCACATTAGTAGGAGCGTTCCTTGAATACACTTGTCTGGTATCACATGAGTAGAAAAGGAGAAAAATTATATAGACACACATACACATGTGTGTACATGCATAAATGATCTCTGGAAGGATACCCAAGGAACAAACCAATAGTAGGTATTCATGGAGTGAGGAGCGGAGCTTGCTAGGCATCAGGAACTCAAGAAAGGCTTTTAACTACTTTATGATTTGTGAACCACATGAATGGATTACCTATTCAAAACATTAAGAAAGAAATATTCAGCACTGAACAACCAAGTCAGAGTTCACTGTGGGCAAAGGCAGAGATGACCAAGGAAGAAAGGGGCCAGGTGAACCTGGGCCTCAGGGAAAGCCCCTACAGCTCAGGAAGCTTTTTGGCTGAGGTTCTGTTCCTATCAATCATGATGGCAGAGGAGCCCATGTAACCCAGATGATGTTATGTGGTATCAGCAGCCCCCATGACACCAGGCCTGCTGCCTACCAGGCTCTGGGCACCAGCTAACCCCCACAAGAGGTGCCAGGGACGTTACTACAATCCCTGGGTGGTAGCTAAGGAAGCTAAGGAAGAGACTGAGAGGCTAACCTGCAGAAGGGCCTAAGGCTAGTGAGTGACAAGAGGTGATTCCATCACTCTCTGCCTGGAGCTCTGGGTATACTGCCCTGGATGTATCAGGATGTATTTCATAATGCCCAAAAAGCCTCTGAGAAAAATAATTCCTAGTTGTTCAAAGTAGCTTAGAGCGGGATCAGGCCAGGGAGATGACATGATTTTGAAGTGGGGTTGTGAAAAAGGACAAGGCCCGAGGCTATTTCTCTGATGGATCCAAGGGGCTTGGCACTGGGGAAAAGGATCTTCTTGTCAAGAACAGGGTATCCGGCAATGGTGGGAGGTCCCCTGTATCCCTCAGCTCAGACCTTCCCAGGGGCCACCTGCCCCTATTTGGCCATTTCTGTCCTGCCTTCCCTGGCTAGGCAAGCATAGGCTTCAAGGACCTTATCTGCCAGGGACAGGCCTAACCAAATCACACGTGGCAAAGAAAAGCAGCAGATGTCAACTTCCTAGTGTCTGATACTGACCCAACCAGGAATCAAGTCAGGCTGGTTTTGTTCCCTGTTTCTGAAGGCAGTTGAATTCAGTTGTACCCCTAGCAACTACTAATGGTTCAGCCACCCGTGGAGTCCAGTTGGGGCTGAGTTATGCTCCACTAACCCATAGCAGACCAGCAACATTCTATCTTTGAGCTGCTTAAGAAACACACAAAGGATACCAGCCAGTGGTCCAAGAGCAGACCAGAATCCCCACGCAGCTACACAGTAACAAGTCCCAGCAACTCCTGAAGATAGATGCGGAAAGGGTGACTTTACCATGGGGTTCGAGTCTGAGCCAAGAGAGTTATAAAGGGGTCCCTAACTCATTCCTTTTTCAAAATAAATAAAAAAAGGACTGTCTTTCAAACAAAAACCCTGCGATTTTAATGAGAATTAAAGGAGGATGTAAATTAAAAGGCCTGTTTGTCTGTACAGCAATGCAGATGCGCAGGCCCATCCTGGTGGAGGACCCAGATGCAGGGAGCAAATATTCGGGTTGTGTTGCTAAGAGTCGCAGGAACTACTGCTAGTGATACTAGGCTTGCTGCAGGAGGATGTCACGCTGAGAAAGGGAGATGACTAGGAGCAGAAAAAGTACTCTCACTGTTCCAGCTTCCAGCCCAATCCTAGCAGAATGAATGCATTTTAAAACCAGTCCACATTCACATGTGCTGAGAAGGTTGTTAGTGGTCCCTCATCTGGGCAAAGCAGACCCAAGGTGGTGCTGAGTGCAGAGTGCAGAGCATTCTTGTGCTCTCCTCTCATGGCTGGAACTATCTGGGCTTTGCGCCCTGGTCCAGTGCTACGTATCAACCCCCTCAACATGCCTGTGGCTCTGACACGGGGGGATGAATTAACTTGCCTCTGTTCAAATATACAGACTTGGTGAGGCTGTCTTTTGTTAGTACTGATGCACAGGGACAGAAAAAGCCTGCAACTTTCAGTTGGGAGAATCCTATAAAAGCTGTGAGCAGCAATAATTTGCAGTATTGATCATAGGAAGGGAAAAAACATTCTCTTTCCTATTAGAGCCCCATAACAGAGGTGACATCTGTCCCAAGGCCATTCCATGGAAAATGGTGGCTGCTGGCAATTAGTGAGGCTAGTCCAGAAGCAAGCCTCCTTCTGATATTGGTCACTGAAAACAGCTCACTATAAACGGGGTGTTTTGTGGCATTCAACTCTGTTGTGCTACAAATAGAGAATGCAAAAAGACGGTGAAAGTAGGAGTGCATAAATAGTTTTTTTCATGGGTGCCAGACAGGCTAAGGCTTTCATATAAAAATATTCCTCACTTTCCTCGTCCTGTTTAGGAAGCAGTCCAGTTGGCATACCACGAATAGGTCACACATAGGAAATGGCCTATTTTGACCAACTGGATTTGTAATTTTCCAAACCGGATTCTGTCCAGCACTGTTCTACACTAATGGAAATTTTCCTCCTCATGCCCAGCCATCTGAACCAAGGACAGGTTCCTTCTCCTAAGAGGACAGAGGTTGGATTCCAGAAAAAAATCCTGGAGTCATGCCAAGAGCAGAGTAGCAAAGCTCCCTCCATCCATTCTCCATGTCACGCAGACTGTATTCCTAATGAAAAACTTCCCCCACTCACACCTGTGGGATGGAGTGGAGCAAAGCAGTTGACGAGGAATTGAGGCAGGCGCTCCTAAGATGGAGGGAGGCGGAGAGCAGGGCTGTGGAAAAGAATTTTCCATCTGACCTGCTACTTTCCATAGCTAATTTATACAATATTCACAAATCTTAATGGACTTTGAGTCATTTCTAGAAAAGTTGGACAGAAAGAGCCAAAGAGCAGCATGCGTTTCTCTCCTATAAAGACACTTTCACTTTCAGTTTCGGAAGTCCAAATACTGAGGCACACACCAACGGTGGACAGCCCTGCAGGAGCTTCCTGAAACTATCTACAATTCCAAGTGGATCACCAGCTTCAGAATTACACAGGGATCTTATTTGGGATAAAGTGTTAAAAAGTGAATGACAGGCTTTTTTTTTTTTTTTTTTTTTTTTCTGAAGTAGAAAGAGAGATAGGGCAAGAGAGAGAAGAGATGGAAGGAGGGGGAGAGGCCAAAGGGTCGGCATTCCCTTCATCCAGCCGGGCCAGAAGTATGGGCCATTCTCAAAAAGCCACTGCTCTTTGGAGCCACTCGAGAGGTTCACAGTGGCTCCCTTCTGAGGCAGTGGCAGTGGGCTCACAGCAGCTACACTGGAACCACAGTGCACATGTGGGGATGTGGGCAGCCTCCTGGATCACTCAGGGACAGTGTGGACTCAGGGCCCACTCCCTGCTGGGGCTCTGGACGGGCCTTACTGGTGCATAGGAGAGGGAAATGATAAGAGGAAATGGCTTCTGACTAGGCCTTTCCAAGCGCATCTCATGTTTTCAGCTTAGATGATTTGATAGCAGGTGTTGTAATCCTGAGGGGGAAATGGGTGACGAGGAACACTGCTACTCAAAGCCAAGATGGCCTTATCAAAGGCATACAACATGAGCCTTGTGGGCACTGCCTCACCAACCACTGGTGGCTGGTTGTGCTGGTTTTACTTGGCTCAAGGGCTGCTGGGAAGGTTTGCTGCGACAAAGGCCTGCATGGCCTACAGAGAAACCCATCCATCCGCAGGTGGGGGTGTGGCTTGAAAGACCTGCTCTTAGTTCCCTTCTTTACCCTCCTGCTTGACATGGAGATGAGGCTCCAGGAGAGAGAGTGTAATGGAGTTAGTAAGAGACCCTCATGAAGTTTCTTGAGGCAAACCCGCAGGCTCATCCACTCCTCTTCTCTCGGCAGGGGGTAGTGTCAAAGTGCTTTGGTTGTCACAAGACCCAGACACCTAGGTTCCCAGTTTGGCTGGCCCAAGAGTTCTTCATGAGGCAAAAGAAGTGGCAGCTGGTGTCCTAGGTAGAGAGCAGCCATACAGACACCACATGTGTTCCTCCTGGCTCCACACAGACGTCGTGTCCAGCAACAGTCTGATCCTTGCGGTAAGCTATACAATGTTCTCTGCCCCAGGAAGGGGCCCCTGAGGGGGTCCACGGTCCTGCTTACTGTGCAACTGGGCCAGCTGTAGAACTGGCATGTTGCACAGGGGACACACTTTACGAACCTCCAGCCACTTAATAAGGCACCTGCAGAAGGAGACACCACAGGGGGAAGATGTCAGTCCTATGCTCATGGCACGGCTGTTCTGCTGAACATCTCCATATCTGTCACCCAGACAACGTCTGCTGTATGGTCCAAGGAGCTCCCCTCCTAGGTGGTGAACGGATGTCACCCCCTGGAGAGAGGGAAGAGACAGAGAGAAGGAGTGGGGAGAGGCCAAGGGGTCAGCAATCCCCTCTTCCTTCCAGAGCCTCCCATCTTCCACGTGTGAAGCCACAGATAGTATGTGATACTCTCAGTTACCCATGACTTCTTACAAGAACAAAATACACTGAGCAGGGATGTGAGAAGTAGGAAAATAAATTTTTCTAACAGAAATACAAAACAAAAAATTATAAGAGGAAGAATATTAATATGTCTGCAGGAAGTGGGAGGAGAGTGCCCCACACTACCATTTATATCCAGACTTTATTTTGATTTTAAATAACTATGGTTTTGATTTAAATAAGTTTTTAGGAGATGAGGCTCTCAGTGGAAAGTTCCAGCTAAATAGCTGTTTATTGCTTGGGCTCCAAGTGTAGGCTCATTTTGGCTCTCTGCCCATAGTCCTGACGTGGTGGTCACGTTCCACCACTCTGCTGTCTCCTAATGTCACGCACACACACACACATCCCACCTGTAGGGTGCTGTCAGCTTTCTGCATTACAGACCAATCATGAAGCCATCAAGCTTGTCTGGCACTGCCCTAAAACCCAAAAGAAGTTGGTTGATGTGCCTCAAACTCGGGTCCCATTAAGTAATTCCATACCAATACTTACTTTCTGTGGAAGGCGTGCTTACATGGGCAAATCCCCAACTCATCTCGAGGCTTGAAGTCTTCTAGGCACACTGCACAGAGCTGAAAGACAAATGCACAAATGAAGCCAAGTGTCTGTTAAGTACCCTCCCAGGTACAAAGTAGAGTGCAGGCTCCTAAAGGCTCAACCGTTTGAAGGGACTCATGAGACTCTTATCTTAAAAAAAAAAGAAATGAATGAATAAATGACTGAAAAGAAACAGGCCAAAATAGATGAATGTCTCCTGCTCTTCCTGTCCCATATCTTCAAGGAGGTGGGCAGATGGGAGAAGACAGAAAGCAAGAGGCAGCTGCCTTTACTTCAGTGCATCAGAAGTGTGGGACCGAGGGAGGGTTACTCTCACATCTGCCAGCTTAGCCTGCTGTCCCTTTCCTGGTGTGCCGAAAGAGCTGAGGCTCTCTGGGTTCTCCACCTTGTCAGCAGCACAGCCTGGCTCCCAAGCACTCACTGAAAGGGACCGCTCAAGCCCTGGCAATCTTTTCTCCTGTTTTTATGCACAGCTTGCAGTAACATGCTATTTATAGTTCCTGGGGCCTCCCACTTTGGCACTGTCCTTCTGTCAGTGTCTCTGTCATATAAAAAGTTACTGAAGACTCAGTTAACTCATGAACATGTGCAGATGGGACCAGGACTGCTCTCAGCCAATGACTAGTCTCCATGGCTTGGAGAGAGGCCTTTGCCATCGTACCCAGGGGCTGGGTTCCAACACTTTCCTGGGCATTCACCAGGGCCCGTGGATACCATGTGTCACCACACTGACCCATTTTACCGATGAGGAAACAGAAGCTCAGGAAAATAATGTTGCTTGAGGCCATTTAATTGGAGAGTGGCCAGGCCTGGCTGGGACCCAGGTCTGTTGCACTGATGTGCTGTTGTGCCATTGCTTTCTCCTGCCCAGTGGTTGAACTCCTTTCTCCCTACTTGCTTCCCTGTCCATTCCCAAGGATCCTGGTTCAGGCCATCACCATTTCTAGCCTGGACTGTTGATGGCTTTGCTGTTACTAGTTTCTTAACCTATAACACGTAACCCAGTCTTCTTAGATTATGTAACATGATCCAGGCAGGACATGTGGCTCTTGGTGCCCAGTGAACCGTGCCATGTTGGTTTTTAAACATCCTTGCTGAGGTAGCTTTCAGGGCCTTGTGTGTATGACAGACAGGACCTTCACAGGAGGAGAATGGATAACTGTGCTCTGTTGGACTCAGCATCCCTACCAAGATGGCAGGGGAGCAGGGAGGAGAGCAGGACAGGTGGCTGGCCTTGGCTCAGACACACTAGCTGTGTGGCCTCTGCCCTCAGGATTCCTCACAGAGCTCTGTTCCTTCATCTGTACAATAAGGACATGGCCTGTCCCACCCTACACACGGCTGTCATCAGCTCAGCTTGGGGGGTAGGGTTAAGGACACAGTAAGGCAGTCTACCAATGCCAGCTGTTTTTATTGATGTCTACATTTTATAATGGAAGTACTGTTTGCAAGCCCATTTTTGTCCTCTGAAGGGAGGCTGAGAACAAGCTGTGGGTAAAGGTAAAAATCCAGCAGTTTCAGCCTAGTGGTATCTTTTTGGGCCTCAGCTTCCCACCTGTAAAGAGGGAATGATGCTCCCATCTCCTAGACTGTGTGATTGGCCCTCTGGCCTTCAACAGCCAGTTTTCCTCTCAGCCCCGCCTTCCGACACAGGGTCAGGACTGTCCTCTGGAGATTTAGCACTGATCCTGTTGAAGCACAGGTTGGATGAGTTGCTTATTTTTATTCACTTATTTTTCCAGGATCCAAAATTAGATTAGTAGCCTTTCCAAACAGGAGTTTCTTTTTTTCTTTTTGAGATGGAGTCTTGCTCTGTCGCCAGGCTGGAGTGCAGTGGTGCGATCTCAGCTCACCGCAACCTCCGCCTCCTGGGTTCAAGTGAGTCTCCTGCCTCAGACTCCCGAATAGCTGGGACTACAGGTGCATGCCAACCATACCCGGCTAATTTTTTATATTTTTAGTAGAGACAGGGTTTCACCATGTTGGCCAAGATGCTCTCGATCTCTTGACCTTGTGATCCGCCTGACTCAGCCTCCCAAAGTGTTGGGATTACAGGTGTGAGCCACTGCGCCCAGCCCCAAAATGGAGTTACTATTAATGGTATAATGTGCTATTATGTTCTGAATAAACAGATCCTAAAACTATAGCCACCTGAGAAAAAACAAGACAAACTCTGACACGTTAAATGCTAAAGGTGACCAAAGTCAATGGCAATCACAAAAAGAGAAAAGCCTCAGATGACTTCCTAGAAGCTCCCTAAGAGCCAAACTCATTTTACAACTTTCCTTTACAGTTCATATTTTGCAAATAAACTTTTGTTTCCAGTATTCAATGAGATTGTTTCTCCAGTGTGACTTCCCATCACCATTAAAAAACTGAGATACAATTAATCTACTATAATATTCACTCCTTTAAGTAACAGTACAATTCAGCAGTTTTTAGGTATATATGTGCAGCCATCTTTACAATCTAATTCCAGAACATTTGCATCAAATGCCACCCACCCACCCCCCAAAACAAGCCCATATTCATAGGCAGTCATTCCCCATTCTCCCCTTTCCCCAATCTCTGGCAACCAACCACTAATCTACTTTCTTTATTGATGGATTTGTCTACTCGGGACATTTCATATAAATGGAACCATACAATATGTAATATTTCATGTTTGGCTTCTTTCCCTTAGCATAATGTCTTCAAGGTTCATCTATATTGTAACATATATCAGTACTTCACTCATTTTCATGGCTGAATAATATTCCACTGTATGTATGTACCGCATTTTGTTTACCCATTTATCTATTGATGGCCACCTGGGTTGTTTCTACCTTTTGGCTATTGTGGACAATACTGCTATAAACACTGGTGTACAAGTATCTGGCTGAGTCCTTGTTTACGTTCTTTTGGGTATGTATCAAGGAGTGGAATTGCTGGGTCATATGGTAACTCTATGTTTACCTTTTTGAGGAGCTACCAAACCGATTTCCAAAGCGGCTGCACCATTTTACGTTCCTACCAGCAGTACGTATGGGTTGTAATTTCTCCATATCATCACCAATACTTATTCTTGTCTTTTTTACTATAGTTATCATAATGGGTGTAAATGGGTCATTTCCTTAATGACTAATGATGCCGTGCTTATTGACCACCACATATCTTCTTTGGAGAAATGCCTATTAAGTCCTTTGTCAATTTATTAGTTGGTTTCTTTTTATTATTAAGTGGTAAGAGTTCTTTATATATTTTAGACTGAACTCCCTTATCAGATAGCCAACTAATTTTGACAAAGGTGCAAAAAGCATTTCAATGGCAGAAGGAAAGCCTTTTCAACAAATGATGTTAGAGCACTACACATTCATAGACACAAAAGACACACGCAGCCTAAGCAGAAACACAACCTAAGCACAACCAAAGCACAACCTAAGCAAAGAAACCAAAGGAAAAAATGGATAAACTGGACTTGATCAAATTAAAAAACTTTTGTTCTACAAAAGACCCTGTTAGGATGAAAAGACTGGGAGAAAATATTTGCAGACCTTTTTATTTTGCAGGCTTCTTATTACTGAGTTCTAAGAGTTCTTTATACATCTTAAATACAAGACCCTTATCAGATATAAAACTTGTGAATACTTTGTCCCTGTGGGTTGCCTTCACTTTCAAGATAATGTCCTTTGAAGCACAAAAGTTTTTAATTTTTTTTTTGAGACAGTCTTGCTCTGTCACCCAGGCTGGAGTGCACTGGTGCCATCATAGCTCACTGCAGCCTCAATCTCCTGATCTCAAGCAATCCTCCAGCTCCTCAAGCCTCAACCTCCCAAATAGCTGGGACTTACAGGCACACATCACGACACCCAACTAATTTTTTTTTTTGTAAGTAGAGATAAGGTCTCCTAGCTATGTTGCCCAGGCTGGTCTCAAACTCCTGAGCTCAAGCAATCTTCTCGTCTTGGCCTCCCAACGTGTTGGGATTACAGGAGTGAGCCTCCATGGCTGGCCTGATGAAGTTTAACTATTTTTTCTTAGCTTGCTTGTGCTTTAGATGTCATATCTAAGAATCCATTACCCAATCCACAGCTATGAAGATTTATACATCTATGTTTATTTCTCCTTTTTGTTTTTTAGAGACAGAGTCTTGCTATGTTGCCCAGGCTGGTCTCAAATTCCTGGACTCAAGGGAGCTTCCCCCTCAGCCCCCTGAGGAGCTGGGATTACAGGCATGTGTCATGGCACTGGGCTCACCTATGTTTATGTCTGAGAGTTTTATAATATTAGCTGATACATTTAGGTCTTTGATTAACTTTTGAGTAATCTTTGTATATAGTATGAGGTAGATGTCTAAATTTATTCTTTTGCATGTAGATATCCAGTTGTCCCAGCACCACTGATTGAAAAGACTATTCTTTTCCCACTGAATTGTCTTGGCACCCTTGTTGAAAATCAACTGACCATAAATGTTTGAATTTATTTTTGGACTTGCAGTTCTATTCCACTGATCTATATAGCTATCAATATACCTGTGTCACATGTATTAAAAACTGTAGCTTTGTATAGTAAGTTTTGAAATTGGAAAGTGTGAGTTCTCTAACTCTGTTCTTCTTTTTCAAGATTCTTTTGGCTATTCTGGATCCTTTACATTTCCATGGGAATTTCAGAATTCATCTGCTTGTCAATTTGTGCATAAAAGGGCAGATAGGATTTTGAAAAAGATGATTTGGTAAATACTTTGGATATTACTGCCAACTTACCAATATTACATTTTCTAACCAATGAACATGGGATGTCATCCCAATTATTTAGGTTTTATTATCTTTTCAACGTTTTATAGTTTTCAGCATATAAATCTGGGCTTCTTTTGTTAAATTTATTCCTAGGTATCTTATTTTTGATGCTATTACAAACGAAAAAAAAATTTTTTTTTTGAGGTGGAGTTTCGCTTTTGTTGCCCACACTGGAGTACAATGGTGTGATCTCAGCTCACCACAACCTCTGCCTTCTGGGTTCAAGTGATCCTCCTGCCTCAGCCTCCTGAGTAGCTGGGGTTACAGGCATGCACCACCACACCCAGCTAATTTTGTATTTTTAGTAGAGACGGGGTTTCTCTATGTTGCCCAGGCTGGTCTTGAACTCCTGGGCTCACGCAATCCTTCCACCTTGGTCTCCCAAAGTGTTAAGATTATAGCTGTGAGCCACCATGTGCGGCTGAATGAAAATTTTAGAACTCAAACAACAGAATAATCACAATAAAAAAACTTAATGGATGGGCTCAACAGCAGAATGGAGGGGATAGAGGAAAGAATCAGTGAACTAGAAGACAGAACACTGGAAATTACTCAGTCTGAACAACAGAGAAAAAATTACTGAAAAAAAAAAAAACTCTCCAGGACTTGTGGAACAACAACAAAGGGTCTAACATTTGTGTCACTGGAGTTCCAGGAGAGAGAAAGAGTGAAATGCAGAAAAAACATTTATAGAAATAATGGCTAAAAACTTCCCATGCTTGGCAAAAAAACCTATATATTTATGAAGCTGAGTAAACTGCAAACAGGATAAATCCAAATAAATCCATGCCTAGACATATCATAAATTGCTGAAAACTAAAGAAAAAGAAAAAAATCTTAAAAGCAGCCAGAGAAAGTGATACATTACTGGTAAGGGATGAATGATTCAAGTGACCTGATTTCTCATCAGAAATCATGGAGGGCCAGAAGGAAGAGGCATAAAAACTGTCAACCTGGAGTTCCATATACAAGAATATTCTTCAGGAATGAAGGTGAAATAAAAACATTCTCAGATGAAGGCAAACTAACAGAATTCATAGCCAGAAGACCTGCTTTAAGAAAATTACTAAAGGAAAGTTCATTATGAAGATAAAAGAGAAATGACATAAGAAGGAAACTTGAAACACTGGGAATGCATAGCAACAGAAATGGTAAAAACCTGGATTAATATAAGGCTGTTCCTCCGTGAAGGTTTTCTTATTTTTTTGAGACCAGGCCTCACTCTGTCACCTACGCTTGAGTGCAGTGGCGCAATCAAGGCTTGGCTCACTGTAGCGTCGACCTCCCAGGCTTGGGTGATCTTTCCACTTAAGGCTCCTGAGTAGCTGGGACTACAGGTATGTGCTACCTGTAAGTTTTTGTATTTTTTGTAGAAATGGGGTTTTGCCATGTTGCCCAGGCTGGTCTCGATCTTCTGGACTCCAGGCAGATGCCTGCCTTTTGAGTTTTTAAAAACATGTCTGATGGGGAAAAGACATATAATGATGGGATTTTTCAATGTATATAGACGTAATATGATAGATATTGCACAAAGAGGGGAAGGAAAAGGGATCCATATTGTGGCAAGGTCTCTACAATCCAACTAGAGTGTTAAAAAACTAATTCTAAATATTTATTTGGTAATCCCTAGAGCAACCACTAAAAAACTATACAAAGACATAAAGTAAAAATCACAACAGATAAATTAAAATGAAGTACTAAAAAATGTTCTAATAACCCAAAAGAAGGCAAGAAAAGGAAAATAGAGAATGAAAAAGAGAGAGAAAAGCAGAAGACAAAAAAAAATGGTAAACCTAATTCTAAATGTATCAGCAATTGCACTGAATGTAAATGATCTATACATACCAATTAAAAGACATATTGGCAGAGTGGATAAAGAAACATGACCCAACTATGCTGTCTACAAGAAAACTCACTTCAAATATAATTCAATGGGTAGATTGAAAATAAAAAGATGAAGCTGGGCATGGTGGCTCACGCCTGTAATCCCAGCACCTAAGAGGCCGAGGGGGGCAGATCACCTGAGGTGAGGAGTTCAAGACCAGCCTGGCTAACATGGTGAAACCCCATCTCTACTAAAAATACAAAAATTAGCTGGGCGTGGTGGTGGACATCTGTAATCCCAGCTACTTGGGAGGCTGAGGCAGGAGAATTGCTTGAACCCAGGAGGCGGAGGTTGCAGTGAGCCAAGATTGTACCACTGCACTCCAGCCTGGGCAGTAGAGCTAGACTCTATCTCAAAAAAGAAAAAAAAAAAAGAAAAGAAAAAGGTGGAAATACACATACCATGCAAACAATCAAAAGGAAGCTGGAATGGCTATATTAATATCAGAAAAATATTTTTTTTTTTTTGAGGTAGGTTCTTGCCCTGTCACCCAGGCTGGAGTACAGTGGCACAACCTTGGCTCACTGCAGCCTAAACCTCCTGGGCTCAAGCAATCCTCCCACCTCAGCCTCCTAAGTAGCTGGGACTATACATGTGTGCCACCAGGCCCAGTTAATTTTTTTTTTTTTTGCAGAGATGAGGTCTCACTATGTTGCCCAGGCTGATCTTGGACTCCTGGGCTCAAGCAATCCTCCCACCTCAGCCTCCCAAAAAGTTGGAATTACAAGTGTGAACCACCGTGTCCGGCCTGGACAAATATATATATTTTTTGAGACGGAGTCTTACTCTGTCACCCAGGCTGGAGTGCAGTGGCGTGATCTCAGCTCACTGCAAGCTCCGCCTCCCAGGTTCATGCCATTCTCCTGCCTCAGCCTCCTGAGTAGCTGGGACTACAGGCACCCACCACCACGCCCGGCTAATTTTTTTGTATTTTTAGTAGAGACGGGGTTTCACCATGTTAGCCAGGATGGTCTCGATCTCCTGACCCTGTGATCCGCCTGCCTCGGCCTCCCAAAGTGCTGGGATTACAGGCGTGAGCCACCGCGCCTGGCCTGGACAAATATTTCAAAGCAAAGGAATTTACCTGGGATGAAGACAGTTTTTTTTTTTTTTTGAGATAGTGTTTCATTCTTGTTGCCCATGCTGGCGTGCAATGGCACGATCTCAGCTCACTGCAACCTCTGCCTCCAGGTTCAAGTGATTCTCCTACCTTAGCCTTCCGAGTAGCTGGGATTACAGGTGTCCATCACCGCGCCTGGCTCATTTTTGTATTTTTGGTAGAGATGGAGTTTCACCATGTTGGCCAGGCTGGTCTTGAACTCCTGACCACAGGTGATCCTCCTGCCTTGGCCTCCCAAAGTGCTGGGATTATAGGTGTGAGCCACCCAGCCCGGCGAGAGACCTTGACAAAAGGGTCAGTTCACCAAGAAGATATTCAATGTGTATACAACTAACAACAGAGCTTCAAATAAATAAATAGACATAATGTATTCACAGGTCAGAAGACTCACCATGGTAAAGGTCAATTCTCTCCAAACACATTTATAGAGTTAATGCAATATAAATCAAAATCCCAGCAGGATTTTTTTTTTTTTTTTGTGGATACAGATGAGCTGATGCTACAATTTACATGGAAGGGTCAAGGAACCAGACTAGCTAAAACAATTTTGGAAAAGAATGAGGTTGGAAGAATCACACTGCCTGATTTTAAGATTTACTATAAAGCTATTAATAATCAAGACAGTGTGGTACTGATGAAGAAACAGGCACACAAATCAAGAGAATATAATGGAGAATCCAGAAATACAGTCACAAAAAATATGGCTATTTGATTTTTGAAAAAGGTGCAAAAGAATTTCAATGAAGAAAGCAACTCACCATAACCAAAGCTGGGGATACTATGGTGAAAAAAATCCAAGACTAGATACAAATGACCAGCGAAACAGGAATTGGTGGGTGTAGTTGGATACTAACTATGATACATACTGATGCAACACACAATGTATTTATTCAGGACAAAGTTTCTAAACTAACAGGTCACACCAGTAAGGAAGACTTCTGTTCTGGATTAATCTGGTAAAAATTTAATCTTTTCATTTACGGTCATCAAAAAGACTCCAAATGGGAAACAGACCACTTTTATTATTTCATGTTAATTTTGGCCATGTGTCAAAATTAACTTCTAGGAAAAGTAAAAAATCAAACAGTGGCCGGCTGCCGTGGCTCACGCTTGTAATCCCAGCACTTTGGGAGGCCGAGGTGGGTGGATTACGTGAGGTCAGGAGTTCAAGACCAGCCTGGCCAACATGGTGAAACCCCGTCTCTACTAAAAATACAAAAATTAGCTGGGTGTGGTGGCGCATGCCTATAATCCTAGCTACTCGACAGGCTGAAGCAGGAGAATCGCTTGAGCCCAGGAGGCGGAGTTTGTAGTGAGCGGAGATTGCACCATTGCACTCCAGCCTGGATGACAGAGTAAGACCCCGTCTCAAAAAAAAAAAAAAAAAAAAATCAAACAGTAATTAATGCTTCAGTTTAATCCAAGGCTAGGTCTAAAATGCCATTAAACAGAAACATATCAATTCTTTGATGAAAAATATGCAGAAAGAGCAAAGGACCAATAGATGATTTCAAAATATTTAACAATAATATGATTATTTTTATTATGATTCAAAAAACCTAACAAATTAACTTTCTTTGAAGAGACTGGCAATTTAGCTTCACCACAGCTAGGCTATATGCGACACTGCTATTACAACACACAGCTTTTCAAGTCCTTGCTTTAAACACCAATTAGAAAACCCAGAAAGGGAGAAGGAAAGGGTGATAAAAAATAAAAATTCTGAAAGTTTGTAGTCAGAGGCAACACAAGAAATAGAATGAAAAAGAATTCTTATAGGCTATGTATCTTAATGTATACAGCAGGATATACACACCCAAGTTTGTACTTAAGTTACAAAGCACCTATGTCCCAACCATGCAACCGAAGAGCTAAACAATCCCAAGGATTCATATCGCTACCTGTGTGTTCTTCCCCTGTTCCGTATGTCTTACCTTCTTCAATCCCTACCCCCATGAGATAACTGCTCTCTTTTTTGTACCATTGGTAAGAAAGAAATATTGGGAACATTTTCAATGGGGAAATTAGTACATACTCACCTTGAGTAGAAAAACTAACGTATCTGTTTCCTATTCATACAGCATGGACGGCAAGCAGCATCCCTACTGCTATGAAATTTTATAATGGTGTCATCACTATTAAAAGTATGAGTTATATTACTCTCGTAAAGCCTTCACACAATTGATTTTTATGTGACCTCACCCTGAAATATTCTATTACCCCAATCAAAATAAGCCTATTTTTTTCAACTACTGAGAATAAAAGTGTTTAAACATACCACAGCATACCACTGCTACTAGAAAATGGCTCAAGAGGATTTACTTATCATCAACTTACCTCATGTAAATTCAATTCTTTTACTTTCTCTTTTAATATAACCTGTAAGACAAAAAAGTATGTTCTTATGCCCATTTAAATCTGTAACTTTAAATATTTCTCATTATATTCTCAAATATTTTTCTTTTGTATATATGGCTCATTTCCCTCATATTCAATATTGAAGGGAATTTCTTTTACAGTTTGAGACAGATCATTTTAGCAACATTTTTTTAACTTGAGCAATGATGCAATATTCTCCTAAAAAAGGAATTTTGGCCGAGCATAGTGGCTCACACCTGTAATCCCAGCACTTTGGGATGCCAAGGCGGGTGGGTCGCCTGAGGTCAGGAGTTTGAGACCAGCCTGGTCAACATAGTGAAACCCTGTCTCTACTAAAAATACAAAAATTAGCTGGATGTGGTGGCGCCTGCCTATAATCCCAGCTACTCGGCAGGCTGAGGCAGGAGATTCACTTGAACCCAGGAGGCGGAAGTTGCAGTGAGCCGAGATCGTGCCATTGCACTCTAGCCTGGGCAACAAGAGCGAAACTCCGTCTCAAAAAAAAAAAAAAAAAGTAAGTCAATCTTAATTTTGAAAGTTTTGACTCCGTGGTGACCAGACAGTAGTTAAAATGAATGCCAAGTGATAAGAAGGAAGTTTACTATTTAAGAAAAAACTCTGAGACTAAATATAGCTTATTAGAGTTATATTTCATCTTAAAGTGAAGAAAATAGGCAAGTAAAATTTGAGGGAAAATCTCTAAATTTTGGTGTCTTACATTCCTGAACTAAAAATGGATTTGAGGGTAAATCCTGTTTTCAGAAATCACACCAGAAGCTACTATAAGGCCTCACAGGGATATACTAAATTTCCTATCCAGTATATTTTAAAGATCAAATTTACTGTATGTCTTGTGACTTGTCTAGTTTTATCAGTCAATTTCACTTAAATGACTGCAAAGGCCAATTTTACTTTCTAGTTAGCCTACATACAAATATCTTGTAAGCTGTCAAGATTATAATACGTGGCCAGGCACGGTAGCTCATGCCTGCAATCCCAGCACTTTGGGAGGCCGAGGTGGGCGGACTGCTTGATCCCAGGAGTTTAAGACCAGCCTAGGCAACATGGCAAAACCCTGTCTCTACAAAAAATACAAAAATTAGCCAGGTGTGGTGGTGCACGCCTGTAATCCCTGCTACTTGGGAGGCTCACCTGAGCCCAGGAGGCAGAGGTTGCAGTGAGCTGAGATTGCACCACTGCACTCCAGCCTGCGTGACAGAAGCGAGACCCTGTCTCAAAACAAAACAAAACAAAACAAAACAGATTATGATAGGAGTCTGGGCAACATGGGGAGACCCCATCTCTACAAAAAGTACAAAAATTAGCCGGGGGTGGTGGTGTGCGCCTGTAGCCCCAGCTATGCATGCCACCACACTCAGCTAAGGTGGGAGGATCACCTGAGCCCAGGGAGGTCAAGGCTGCAGTGAGCTGTGATCATGCCACTGCACTCCAGTCTGGGTGACAGAGACCCCGTCAAAAAAAAAAAAAAAAAAAGATTATGATAGGACTGAGACAAAAAGATTCATTCATTTAGAAAACTAAAATACTCAACTCTGATTTTGGATCCCACATGAGACCTGTAAGAGTGTGGGGTTACCTAAGGACATCAGTATGTCCATCTAGGGAATGTGCCAGTGAGCTCAGATTTCAAACATACATGGACGAAAGATGAACAGAAAGATAAGCAGTCCTGGCTGGGCGCGGTGGCTCACACCTGTAATCCTGGCACTTTGGGAGGCCGAGGTGGGTGGATCACGAGGTCAAGAGATCAAGACCATCCTGGCCAACATGGTGAAATCCTGTCTCTACTAAAAATACAAAAATTAGCTGGGCGTTGTGGCAGATAGATGGCTGTCGTCCCAGCTACTTGGGAGGCTGAGGCAGGAGATCACTTGAACCCGGGAGGCGGAGGTTGCATTGAGCTGAGATCTTGCCATTGCACTCCAGCCTGGCGACAGAGCGAGACTCCGTCTCAAAAACAAACAAAAACAAGATACGCAGTTCTGAAGTGTTACAGTTCCATAACATCAGCGTCAGCAAGGTTAAAGACTCAAATAAGCTGAAGCTCCCCTGTACCCAAGAAGAAAGCTAAGGGTAACAAAAATTAAGAATTTCATGCTTAGAGCCAAAGGAAAATCTAGGCCCCCTGTTTGGAAGAAAAAAATAATTTTACTTGGCCTTTGAGAAAAGATAAGTGTATTAACTTAAAGACAAAATCAGTGAAGGACTAGGTATTGACAGCTATGATCCAAGTTTGCAGACTTCTAGTGGATAATATGAGCTAACATTTAAAGTACAAAAGGGAGTAGATGAGATCACTGTAACACAGCTGGTCGCTCACCTCCGAGGAACTGCTATGTCTTCTAATAAAGAAGGAAGGAAAAATTTCACTTAATGGTATCTCAGAACTCCATTAAGTCGACAGTAACTTTAAGAATTACAAGCTATAGCATTTCTCTTTAGCAATCTGTTGGCTCAAGTTTCCTGTTAAATTATATCATCTGAACTTTCTACAGCTTCAAGTAATGCTTACAAAAGAAGAGAAAAGCTGGGCACAGTGGCTCACGCCTGTAATCCCAGCACTTTGGGAGGCCGAGGCGGGCGGATCACCTGAGGTCCAGAGTTCGAGACCAGCCTGACCAACATGGAGAAACCCCGTCTCTACTAAAAATACAAAATTAGCCAGGCGTGGTGGCGCATGCCTGTAATCCCAGCTACTTGGGAGGCTGAGGCAGGAGAATAGCTTGAACCTGGAAGGCGGAGGTTGCTGTGAGCCGAGATCACGCCATTGCACTCCAGCCTGGGCAACAAGAGCGAAACTCCGTCTCAAAAAAAAAAAAAAGAAGAGAAGAATACTTAAGAAAATGAAGTTGATATATTATACTGCAAATTGGCAGTGAGATGCTAAAATGAACACAAGTAAATTCAGTCCCAGTTTAACGTATGAGTGGAAATCAGAGTTCTCAGTTTTTTGGGGGGAAAAAAAAAATCAAAGCCAATCTGAATTAAATTTCTCACCTGTTTGTAGGCATAAAATTCTTTGTGTGCTTGATGTCTTAGCCTAAAAGACAGAAATTAGTAATGCAATATTGAGATTTCCAACATAGTAACTTGAAGAAAAATAAAAAGTTGCTGATTTTGGTATTAATTTATAACATTTATGGCTCAAATGATATAAATTAGAATCTTTACCCTGAAATACACCCAAATGATGTATCTCTTAACATGCTATGTGAA
Source organism: Homo sapiens (assembly GCF_000001405.40). Taxonomy (NCBI): domain Eukaryota; kingdom Metazoa; phylum Chordata; class Mammalia; order Primates; family Hominidae; genus Homo; species Homo sapiens. The sequence goes on from NC_000020.11 coordinate 3,948,456, forward strand.
AGTGCCCAGGGAACCATGAAATGTTACCCAAACGTAAGATGACTCAATTCTTTTTATACCGACAGTCTACTTATTTCAATAATATTTATATTTTTTCTTAATTAGAAAAAATTTAAGTATAACATACATCCAATGAAGTATAAAAACCTTAAGTATACAGCTCAAAATCTTAAAAAATGTACATACCAGGATAACTGTTGCTCATATCAAGACATGGTACATTTCCAGCACACCTGAGCCCTCTAAAATGATCCTTCCTAATCAATATCCATGCCCCAGAGGTAGCACTATCCTGATTTCTAACACTGTAGATTAATTATGCCTGTTTTTGAACTTCATGTAAATGGATCGTTTGGTATATACTCTTTTGTGTTTGGTTTCTTTCAGTCTACAATGCCTTGTGAGATTCTTCCATATTGTTGTAGTAATTGTCTTTCTGACTGACATACAGTATTCCATTGTATGAATATAATACCATTTATTTATCCATTTTACTGCTGATGAATATTTAATTACTTCCTGTTTGAGGCTATTATTAAAGCTGATACACAAATTCTACATGTCTTTTAGTGGACATATATACTCATTTCTGTTAAGTATATACCCGGGAGTAGAACTGCTGGTTCAAAGTACTCACACCGAGGCTGGGCACCGTGGCTCACGCCTGTAATCCTAGCACTTTGGGAGGCCGCGGCAGGCGGATGGCCTGAGGTCAAGAGTTTGAGACCAGCCTGGTCAACAGGGAGAAACCCCGAATCTACTAAAAATACAAAAATTAGCCAGGCATAGTGGCACATGCCTGTAATCCCAGCTACTTGGGAGGCTGAGGCAGGAGAATCACTTGAACCCAGGAGGCGGAGGTTGCAGTGAGCCGAGATCATGCCACTGCACTCCAGCCTGGGTGACATAGTGAGACTTTGTCTTGAAAAAAATAAAAGTACTCACCCTGGCCGGACACAGTGGCTCATGCCTGTAATCCCAGCACTTTGGGAGGCTGAGGCAGGAGGATCGCTTGAGCCCAGGAGTTCGAGACCAGCCTGGGCAATAAGGCAAAACCTCATCTGTACAAAAAATACAATTAGCTGGGCATGGTGGCGTGTGGCCTGTGGTCCCAGCTACTCGGGAGGCTGAGGTGGGAGGACTGCTTGAGCCTGGGAGGTGAAGGCTGCAGTGAGCTGGGATTGTGCCACTGTACTCCAGCCTGGGTGACGGAGTGAGATCCTGTCATAAAAAAAAATAAAGTACTCATAACAATTTTACTTCTATGGGTAGTTTATGAGAGTTCTAGGTGTTCACATCTTTGTAGGTTAAGTCTGAAAAATTTTTAAATTTAAATGAAGTCTAATTTATCAACTTTTCCCAATTAGGTTAGTTCTTTTTATGTCCCATTAAAGAAATCTTTGCCTATCCCAAAACTATGAAGATATTCTCCTGAGTATGTTGTGAAAACAATTTGTTGTTTTACCTAACAAATGTAGGTCTATGATCCATCTGAAATTGGTCTTTATGTATGCTGTGAGGTAGCTTTTTATCCTCATATAGACTTTCATTTGCCTCACCATCATTTATTGAAAAGATTCTCCCCTTTCCCCACTGCACTGCAGTGACACATCTGTTGTAAATCAGGTGTATTGAATATGTCGGTCTATTTCTAGAGCTGCTATTATTCTGCTCCATTGGTCTATTTGCCTATCCTTGTATAGTGATGAATGTGTCCGCCTCAGCTCCCAATTCATGTCAAACTGGAACCTCAGAATATAACCTTATTTGAAAATAGGGTCTTTTCAGATTATTAGTTAGTTAAGATGAGGTTATATTGGATTAAGATGAGCCCTAAATTCAATTTGACTGCTATCCTTATAAGAAGAGGAGAGGATATGCAGAGACAGACGGAAAAGAAGGCCATGTGAACACAGAGACAGAGACTGAAGTGAGGCAGCTACAAGCCAAGGAATGCCAAGGCTTTCTGGTACTCACTGGAAGCTAGGAAGAGGCAAGAAAGACTCTCTCCTAGAGCCTTCAGAGGAAGCATGGCTCTGCCAGCACTTTACATTTGAACTCTTCTAGCCTTCACAATTGTAAGAAATTACATTGCTCTTGTTTTAAGTTACCCAATTTGTGGCACTTTGTTACAGCAACACTAAGCAACCAATGTACCTTGTGTCAATATCATGCTATTTTAAAAACTTTTATTTTGAAATAATTTTAGACAGAAAAGTTGCAAAAAATAGAATTCACATATACCTTTCTACCAGCTTTCACATTTATATAACCATAGTTGTATATACTATGTCCACATTTTATACAACCATAGTACAATTATCAAAACCATTAAATTAACATTGATATATTAGTATTGATATAACATTGATATATTATTAACTAAACTACAGACCTTATTTGAATTTTACCAGTTCTTTCTCTCATGTCCTTTTCCTGTTCTATTATCCAATCCAGGATCCCATCTTGCATCTAGTTATGTCTCCTTAGCCACTTTTAATTTTTTGTTTGTTTTTTGGAGACAGAGTCTCGCTCTGTAGCCCAGGCTGGAGTGCAGTGGCATGATCTCGGCTCACTGCAAGCTCCGCCTCCTGGGTTCACACCATTCTCCTGCCTCAGCCTCCCAAGTAGCTGGGACTACAGGCACCCACTAACATGCCCGGCTAATTTTTTTTGTATTTTTAGTAGAGATAGGATTTCACCGTGTTAGCCAGGATGGTCTCAATCTCCTGACCTCGTTATCCGCCTGCCTTGGCCTCCCAAAGTGCTGGGATTACAGGCGTGAGCCACCGCACCAGGCCAGCCACCTCTAATTTGTTGAGAGTTCCTTAGTCTTTCCTTGTCTTTCAAGATTTTGACATATTAAGTATGATCATTCTTTCTTGGTGGAATTTGAAGATTTCAATTTAAGATTGGTTAAGATAGTGTCCACTGGGTTTCTCCACTGTAGTGTATCTTGAGGGAGACACGCTGAAATTATACATATACTCTATTATTTTCTCAAGCTTTTGCCCACTGATTTTAGCATCCACCTTGCTTGCAATAATTACTGTAGTGTTTGCCTAAACTCTAATGGTGGTTTTGTAGTTCTCTAATTCCTTGCACATTTATTAACTGGAAATCTTCTATAAGGAAGAGATGTGCTTCCTCATTTATTTGTGCAATTATTTATTTCTATCAGTCTAGACTAATGGACATTGGTCTTAATCTATGGGAAGAGATGTGCTTCTTCATTTATTTGTGCAATTATTTATTTCTATCAGTCTAGACTCATGGATATTGGTTGTAATCTATGAGTTACAGTTCAATATGATCACTACTTTTTGTTGCTCAAATTGATTGGCCTTGAGTCCTTCAGGCTGACTCTTGTGTTCTTTCAACAAGCCCCCATCCTTTCCCATGCATTTCCGTATTTACTGGCACCAAAAGATGTTTGTTTCAGGCTCATTTTATATGTTCTGTGTTCCAGCCCTGGGGTTAGCCACTTCTTCCAAGGAACCCTAATTCCTTTTATTGGAGAAAAGTATTTAGAACTTGAGATCTGGGTGCTTGGTGAACAGCACTTTCTCTTAATACTGTTGCTTTAAAACAGGTTTTGGGGTCTGGTAGCAAAAGTCCTCAAGTTTTATTCTTTTGAATGACTGGCTTGGTTATTCTTGGTTCTCTGCAGTTCCATATAGATTTCAATTTCCACCAGAAAAAAAAAAAAACCCTCTTGGGGTTTTGAGTAAGAATGTACAAAATTCACAGACCAACTGAGGAAGAACTGACATCTTTGCAAGACTGAGTGTCTAACCTATGAACATTATTTCTTTATTTACAGCTTTAATTTTTCTCTTACACATTTCTCCTAGACATTTGGTAATTTTTGATGCTACTGTAAATAGTGTTGAAAAAAATCTTTATTTTCTAATTATTTCTTGCTACCTATATGGAAAAAAGTAATTTTTGTATATTGATCCTGTATCTGGTGGCTTGCTAATTCTAAATAGTTTCTCTGTAAAAACTTTTGGATTTTTTAATGTACACAATTATGTTGTCTGCATATAATCACAATTTAAACACTGCCTTTATAATCTTTATTTGCTTCTTTTCTAAATACACTTTTCTTTTATTCTTTTTTCCCGTTTTTTTTTTTTTGCACTGACTAGCTAGGCCCTCCAGTATGATGCTAAATAAAAGTGATAGTGAATGTCCCTATCAATACATCACTATTAAGTATGATGTTTTCTTTAGATATTTTTTGTAGATACTCTTTCAAATTTTAGAAAGTTCTCTTGTAGTACTAGTTTACCAAAAAAAATCATGAATAGGTATTAAATTTTATCAATGCTTTATGATATTATACTATTAATGTGCTATATTGTATTGATTGCTTTTCAAATGTTAAAATAACTCTCGTTCTTGGAACAAACCTCATTTGGTTGTAATATTCTACCTTTTTTGTAGATCCCTGAATTTGATTTACAATATTTTGCTGATGAAAAGGATCGGTCTATAATTTCCTTTCTCATAATATCCTTGTCAGGCTTTGAAATCACAATTATGCTGGCCTCATGAAATGAGCTGAGAAGTATTTGTTCCACTTTTATTCTCTGGAAGTGTCATATTGGAGTGGTATTTTTTTCCTTAAATGTTTGGATGAGTTACTTGGCTTAAAATATCATTGTGGGAATGTTTTAAAAATACATTCAATTTTCCTTTCTTTTCTTTTGGAGACGGAGTCTCACTCTGTCACCCAGCGTGGAGTGCAGTGCGTGATCTCGGCTCACTGCAAGCTCCGCCTCCTGGGTTCACGCCATTCTCCTGCCTCAGCCTCCCGAGTAGCTGGGACTACAGACACCCGCCACCACGCCCGGCTAATTTTTTTTGTAGTTTTAGTAGAGACGAGGTTTCACCATATTAGCCAGGATGGTCTCCATCTCCTGACCTTGTGATCTGCCTGCCTCAGCCTCCCAAAGTGCTGGGATTACAGCATGAGCCACCGTGCCTGGCCCAAAACACATTCTCTCTTTTTTTTTTTTTTTGAGACGGAGTCTTGCTCTGTTGCCCAGGCTGGAATGCAGTGGCGCAATCTCAGCTCACTGCCACCTCCGCCTCCCAGGTTCAAGCAAGTCCCCTGCCTCAGCCTCCCATGTAGCTGGGATTACAGACACATGCCACCACGCCCGGCTAATTTCTGTATTTTAGTAAAGATGGGGTTTCACCATGTTGGCCAAGATGGTCTCGATCTCCTGACCTCGTGATCTGTCTCTTTTTCGTATTAGATATATAATTATTCATATTTTCAATTTCTTGTAGTAGTTTTTTTTTTTTTTTGAGACAGAGTCTCACTCTGTCGCCCAGGCTGGAGTACAGTGGCACAATCTTGGCTCACTGCAACCTCCACCTCCCGGGTTCAGGTGATTCTCTTGTTTCAGCCTCCTGAATAGCTGAGAATACAGGTGTGTGCCACCACGTCCAGCTAATTTTTATATTTTTAGTAGAGATGGGGTTTCACCATGTTGGCCAGGCTGGTCTCGAACTCCTGACCTCAGGTGATCCCCTGCCTCAGACTCCCAAAGTGCTGGGATTACAGGAGTGAGCCACCATGCCCGGCCCCGGTTTTTTCTTTTTAAAAATTTCATTCTTTTATTTTTACTCACATTACAACTAACCGCCTTCAAGTATACAATTCAGTGGTAAGTAGTGTACTCACAATGTTGTCCATCTACCAGCTATCTCTAGTTTCAAAATTTTTCATCACTCCAACAAAACACCTGGTACCCCATTCACTGATCACTCCCCATTACCCCTTACTTCTATCCCCTGCAACCTCTTATCTGCTTTTTGTCTCTATAGATTTGCCTATTATGGATATATCATATAAAAGGAACAATGCAATATATGGCCTTTTGTGTATGGCTTTCCACCTAGCATGTTTTTGAGGTTCATCCTGGTTGTAGTATGTATCAGTACTTCACTTCTTTTTATGGCTGAATAATATTCCATTGTATGTACATACAATTATCCATTCATCTGTCGATGGACATTTGGGTTGTTTATACCTTTTGGCTATTATGAAACATTTCTGTACACGTTTCTGTGTGGACATATATTTTCATTTGTCTTGGGTATATACCTAGGAATGAAAATCTGGGTCACATGGTTTAATATTTTGAAGAACTGGCCAGGTATGGTGGCTCATGCCTGTAATCCCAGCACTTTGGGAGGCTGAGGCAGGTGGATCATGAGGTCAGGAGTTCAAGTCTGGCCAACATAGTGAAACTCCGTCTCTACTAAAAATACAAAAAATTAGCTGGGTGTGGTGGCAGGCGCCTGTAATCCCAACTACTTGGGAGGCTGAGGCAGGAGAATTGCATGAACCTGGGAGGCAGAGATTGCAGTGAGCCGAGATCGCGCCATTGCACTCTAGCCCGGGTGACAGTGCGAGACTCCATCTCAAGAAAAAAAAAAAAGAATTTGTTTGAAGATCCACCAAACTCTTTTTCACAGCAGCTGCATCATTTTGCATTTCTACCAGCAATATATGCAAGTTCTTATTTCTCCACATCCTCATTAACACTTGTTATTTTTCTGTTTTTGATTACAGCATCCTAGTAGGTGTGAAGTGGTATCTCATTGTGTTTTTAATTTGGAATTCCTTAATGACCAATAATGTCAAACATCTTTTCATGTGCTTGTTGGCCATTTGTGTAACTTCTTTGGAGAATTGTTTAAGTCTTTTGCCCATTTTTAAATTGGGTTGTCTTTTTGCTGTTAAATTTTAAGAGCTTTTAATATATTCTGGGTATTAAACCCTTATCAGATAGGACTTGTAAATATTTTTCTCCCATTCTGTAGGTTGCCTTATCACTTTCTTGATGTCCTTTGATGTACAAATGTTTCGCATGTTAATATCCAGCTTCCCAGTACCATTGGTTGAAGAAACAATTCTTTCCCCATTGAATGATCTTGGCACCCTTATTTGCATATCAATTTGTCATAGATGTTTGGATTTATTTCTGGACTCTCAATTCTATTTTATTGGTTTATATGTCTATCTTTATACCAGTACCACAATTTTTTGATTACAGTAGCTTTCTGAAGTTTTGAAATCAGGAAGTGTGAGTCCTTCTATTTGTTTTTCTTTTTCAAAACTGCTTTGGCTATTTGGGGCCCCAGTTCCAAATGAATTTGAGGATTGCTTTTTCTATTTCTGTAAAAAAAGGCCATTAGAATTTTGATAGGGATTGCACTGAATCTGTAGATTGCCTTGGAAAATATTGACACTGTAACTATATAAAGACGATATAAATCCATGAACATGGGGTGCCTTTACATTTATTTAGGTCTTCTTTAATTTCTTTCAGCAATGTTTTGTAGTTTTCAGGGTATAAGTCTTTCACTTCCCTGGTTAACTTTATTCCTTAAAATTTTATTCTTTTGGATGCTATTGTAAATGGGATTGTTTCCTTTATTTCCTTTTCAGATTGTTCATTGTTGATGCACAGAAACACAACTGATTTTTGTGTATTGATCTTAGACTCTGAAAGTTTGCTGAATTTATTAGTTCCAGTAGTTTTTTTTGTGTGTGTGTGGATCCTACGGGATTTTCTCTGTATAGGATCATATCATCTGCAAATGGAGATAGTTACTTCTTTCTAGTTAGATGCCTTCTATTTCTTTTTCTTGCCTAATTGTTCTGGCTAGAACTTCCAGTACAATGCTGAACAGTAGTGGTAAAGTGGGCATTCTTATTGTGTTCTGATCTTAGGGGAAAGCTTTCCGTCTATTACCAGAAAGTACAATGTTAAGTTGTGTGTGTGTTTTTTTTTTTTTAATAAATGCCCTTTCTTGTGTCAGTTTTGATACACCTCTTTTTTTGTTAGGAATCTATGTAATTCACCCAAAATTTCAAGTTTATTGCCATAAATGCATAATATTCTTTGTGACCTTTTAATGTTTATAGGATTTGTAATAATGTCCCTTTTTCATTAGTGATATTAGTAATTTATATTTTAGTAAATTATATTTTATAATGTATATTTTCTTTCCTCTTTTTCCTGATTAGTTTTTCTAGAGATTTAACAATTTTATTAATTTTCCAAAGAACCAGCTTTGGTCTCAATAATTTTTACTATTATACATTTATTTTCTAGTTCATTGATATCGTGCTTAGCTTTTTTACTTTCTTCCTTTTATTTTTTCTTGGGTTTAACTGGCCTTTTATTTTAGCTCCATGAAAACGTTGCTCATTGGTTTTAGTCTTTCTTGCCTAATATATGAATTTAAAGCTATAGCTTTCTCATAAGTTTATTAATTATGTAGTTCAAATAATCTATATCCTTATAGGGTTTTTGCTTGTTTTACATTTTATTTCTTTACATGAAAAAATACCATTTTCACATAAAGAAACTATTTTCACCTAAAGAAATAAAATGGACCGGGCATGGTGGCTTATGCCTGTAATCCCAGCACTTTGGGAGGCTGAGGTGGGAGGATCACTCAAGCCCAGGCTGAGGAACATAGTGGGACTCTGTCTCTACAAAAAATTGAAAAATTAGCTGGGCATCAGCTGGGCTCAGTGGCTCATGCTTGTAAACCCAGTACTTTGGGAGGCCGAGGCGGGTGGATCATTTGAGGTCAGGAGTTCCAGATCAGATCAGCCTGGCCAACATGGTGAAACCCTGTCTCTACTAAAAATACAAAAATTAGCCAGGCATGGTGGTACACGCCTGTAATCCCAGCTACTCGGGAGGCTGAGGCAGGAGAATTGCTTGAACCCATGAGGCGGAGGTTGCAGTGAGCTGAGATCATGCCACTGTACTCTAGCCTGGGTGACAGAGCAAGACTGTCTCAAAAAAAGAAAAAAAGTTAGCCAGGCATGATGGCGTGTGCCTATAGTCTCAGCTACTTGAGAGGCTGAGGTAGGATTGCTTGAGCCTGGGAGGTTGAGGCTGCAGTAAGCTATGATCATGACATTGCTCTCCAGCCTGGGTGACAGGCTGAGACCCTGTCTCAAAAAAAAAAAAATAATAATAATAAAAATAAAAAATAAATAAAATGAATTCCATTAGAAGTCATTAAAATGAGGCTTTATTTGTTAATTCATTTTGCTTGTTTGAATCTTTTAATTAGATCTGCATGTTTTCCCAAAACTGAACTTGTTACTTCCAGCTACAGCATGGATCAATTTGTGCTCACCTTTTTCTTCCATCTGTGGCTCAAAATTCATCCCTTCTAGAAAGTTCTCCCTTAAATTAACTTCATTCTATGAAGTTAATTTGATTCCTCCATTACTCTAACTCCCATTAATTATCTAATATTTTACATTGCACTATTTTATTTTGCACTGCTAAATAGATATCTAAAAAGTATTTAAGAAGGCATGATTAACAATGCTGAACAGTGCTAGAGAAATGATAAAACCGTGTAGCTTATGGCCACTGCAAATTTGTGGTCTCCAGTCTCAGCCTGATTCTCCACATTGCTCTCTAATCCTTCTATCTATTCATGCTCAGTATCCTAAGCTTTCATGCAGTGGTTCTTTCAAACCCTTGCCACTCTCTTTAAGTGTTACCCTATCACTTCCTCCCCTATAATTTTCAACTGTCAATTTTTTACTACACAAATAAAGGGGGCTGTGATGTATGCAAGCTTTCTCACTCCCAGCTCCACATGGCTACAATATATTTTGTTTTCTACAGCTACCCTCATCTCTGTCTTAGGAAAAGGTGTTCTCCTGCTTAGGAATAATATTGCTATCTCTCTTATGTGTGTCTCTTTTCACCTCTATGATTTATTCTTTCTTATAAATCTTCCACAATTGGCTCATTCTCCTTAATATATGCATACACATACCAAAATCTCTATCTTACAAAAAAACCCAGCACTAAAATACTTCCTTGATTCTACAGCAACTCCTCCCCTCAACCTAATCTTTTCCAGCCAAGGTTCTTCAAAGACAGAGTTATATTCCTTGTATCCACTTTCACCTACTAGCCAGGTTTTGCCCCATTATAGCCTCTACCATCCCTTTCCCTATGCTACTGAAATTTTTCTACCAAAGATTAAGGATGCAAAACCTTATTGTCAAATGTAATGTGAACTTTTCAATTGTTATCCTCTTTGTTGGCAGCTGACATAATTGACTCAATCCATTGAAACACTACTTGTAGGGCATCTTTCTCACAATATTCTGTGCCCCTGTGTGTGTTTGTTTTGAGATGGAGTCTGCTCTGTTGCCCAGGCTGGAGTGCAGTGGCGCAATCTCAGCTCAATGCAACCTCCACCTTCTGGGTTCAAGCGATTCTCCTGTCTCAGCCTCCTGAGTAGCTGGGATTACAGGCATGTGACACCACGCCTGGTTAATTTTTATATTTTTAATAGAGATGGGGTTTCACCATGTTGGCCAGGCTGGTCTCAAACTCCTAACCTCAGGTGATCCACCTAGCTCGGTCTCCCAAAGTGCTGGGATTATAGGCGTAAGCCACCATTCCCAGCCTCGATTTTCCTCTTATCTCCTGCTATCCCTTCTCAGTCTCTTTTAAGGGCTCCTCTTAAATATCAATGTTTCCTTAGGATTCTGCCCTGGGCCCATTTTATTTTACTATACACATTCTCTCTAGGCAACACTCCTGGCTTCAGCTTCTACCTATTAATTACATGACCTCCTATTTCCAGATCAGACTTCTCACAAGCTTTAGAGCTACACATCCAACTAAGTATTAAACATCTTCAGACCCCCATCTCTGAAATGGAATCTATCATCTTTTCACTTAAAATGTGCCCATTCATTTTCTATCTCTCGGAAGGGATTGCTATCTACCCAGCTGCCTAAGCCAGAAGTCCAAGAAAGATTCTAAACCCCTTCTGTCCTTAATGTCCAGTCATTAATTTCTGTTTATTTTCACCTCCCAAGTATTTCTTACAACCACAACATCTTTTCTAGATCTACTGTCATTATCTTGGTTCATGACCTCATAATAACTGTAGCCCCAAAATTTCCCTGTATTCTTCAAAATTTATTTTTGAGTATTATTAAAACATAATACACAATAATTGTACTATTTATGGGGTACATGTAATATTTTGATACAAGCATACAACGTATAATGATCAAATCAGGGTAACTGGGGTATGCATCACCCCTCTATTTTTTGTTTATAATTTTATCCAAGTTACATATGTTGTCATATGTGGCTCTACAGGGTTAATAACAAAAAATCAGCAGTCCTCTGCCCTCTTCTCAAGAGATAACCCATTTTTTCCCCCTTTAGCTCACTATTTTGATCCTGACTTTCATGTTTCTAAATAACTTGCCTGTGTTGGTACTTCTTGATTTTTTAGTTTTAGGCATATCTAATGACTTCCTACTAGGGAACCGTTCATTCATTCACCCAGCAAATACTTATCGAGTGCTTAATATCGTGCCAGGCACGATTCTGAGTGTTTGAGATATAACAAACACAACAAATAACCATCAGGGAAAAAATATGAACAAACATAAATTAGAATATTATATAATTCATTATAAAACAGGATCTTTCTTAGCAAGGTAAGATGCCCTTCTTTTGTGCTCCAGTAGTGCCCTGTTCACAGCCCTACCATAGTCAGCACATTCTATACTACAATCCTGTGTAAGACTGTGGTTGGTAGTGACTGTCTTGTTTAGACCTAAGTTATAGTCTTCCTATGGTTCTGATGAGTCCAGTGGTGGTGACTGGAGGGAGCTCTCTGGAGAACAGAAGAACCTCCTGGGAAGGTGCTGGAGAGCTTAGGTTATCATAAAAAATGAGCTAGGGTAATTCTGGAGGAGCTGACTCCACAGATCTCTAGATTAACTGCAAAGACTTGTTAAATCCCAATTTACCATTTGAAGTGTTAAAGGTAACAAATTAGGATCATCACAAAGGAAAGCTCCTTACCTCATGATTAAATTTTAAAAATTGGCCAGGCGCGGTGGCTCATGCCTGTAATCCCAGCACTTTGGGAGGCTGAGGCAGGCGGATCACAAGATCAAGAGATCTAGAACATCCTGGCCAACATGGTGAAACCCCATCTCTACTAAAAATACAAAATTTAGCTGGGCGTGGTGGCGTGCGCCTGTAGTCCCAGCTACTCGGGAGGCTGAGGCAAGAGAATGGCGTGAACCTGGGAGGCAGAGCTTGCAGTGAGCCAAGATTGCACCACTGCACTCCAGCCTGGTGACAGAGCAAGACTCTATCTCAAAACAAAACAAAACAAAACAAAAAACAATCGTACCAATGACTAGTAAATGAAGTTTAGAAATGTTTGAACATTTCTGATTAAACATGATAATTCAATTTTAGTGTAACAGATCCTAATTTCTTTGCTTTGTTAGCTTATTTTTAAATTTTTTAATTTTTATTTTTTTGAGACAGGGTAGAGTGTGGCACAATCTTGGCTCAATGCAACCTCTGCCTCCAGGGTTCAAGCGATTCTCATGCCTCAGCCTCCCGATTAGCTGGGACTACAGGCGTGTGCCACCACACCCAACTAATTTTTGTATTTTTAGTAGAGATGGTGTTTCACTTGTTGGCCAGGCTGGTCTTGAACTCCTGACCTCAAGTGATCCGCCTGCCTTGGCCTCCCAAAGTGCTGAGATTACAGGTATGAGCCACTGCACCCGGCCTGTTAGGCTGATTATAAAAAAGGATAAGGCTGGGTGTGGTGGCTCATGCCTATAATTTCAGCATTTTGGGAGGCAGAGCTGGGAGGACTGCTTGAGCCCAAGAGTTGGAGACCAGTCTGGAAAACATACTGAGACTTCGTCTCTACAAAAAATAAAAAAATTAGCTGGGTGTGGTGGTGGGTGTCTAGAGTCCCAGCTACTCAGGAGGCTGAGATGGGAGGATCACTTGTGCTAGGAGGTTGAGGCTTTGGTGAGCCTCATGTCACTGCACTCCAGCCTGGGTGACAGAGTGAGACACTATCTTGAAAAAAAAAAAAAAGATACAAAAGGATAAAATTAAGTACATATCATTATTTTTTCATTATCACTTTACTTATTTGCTTGATTATTAAAAGGAATACAATGAGGTAAAAGGGTGTTTCATAACTTACTTTTCAAAAACTTTGCCCAGAATCACAAATTGGTACATTAGTGGGTTTTTGTTTGTTTAAAGTTAAAGGCTTACTTAATTCTTTGACATAGTAATGAAAACTATATTATGAGCTATATATTTTAGAATTAAATATTTTACATATGATAACCCTCCCTTAATAACATTTTCTTTTTTTTACATTTTGTTATATTTTTATATTTTTTGCCTCTTTAAAAAATAATTTGGTTTTGAATATTAAATTTACATATTTCTAAGTTAAATCAACATTCGTAGAGGAATTATCAAAAAAAACTAGTAAGTCTGAAAAAAAAACCATATTTTTATATTCTGAGGTCCTATATATGCTATGGCTAATTCTCTAATTTTAAAAAATGCTGAATATTTACATAATGTTTATCAAACTATTATTAATTTATATTTGAGTGCTTTATTATATTGGAATTGCAGTAATATTAACATTTGTATAAACACACAAAACCTTGTCTTTTCTTGCTAGAAAGAGATGTAAAAATCTGAACTAGTTGAACAGTCTTAACTCATTGTCTAGCCAGATGTGGTGGCTCACCCCTGTAATCCCAGCACTTTGGGAGGTTGAGGCGGGTGGATTGCTTGAACTCAGGAGTTTCAGACCAGCCTGGGAAACATTGCAAATCCCCATTTCTACCAAAAATACAAAAAAAATTGGCCAGGTGTGGTGGCAGGCACCTGTAGTCCCAGCTACTTGGGATGCTGAGGTGGGAGGATCACTTGAGCCTAGGAGGAAAGCTGTAGTGAGCAGAGACTGTGCCACTGCACTCCAACCTAGGTAACAGAGTGAGAACCCATCTCAAATAATAATAATAATAACAATAAAGAACTCATTGTCCATTGGTAATAATAAATGTGTTTACGATGCAACAAAAAGTGTAACACAAAAATATATTAAATGCTGCAGCAAGTATTTACATATATGTACCTCATTTTTTTTTCTTTCCACTAAGGAAGGTGCTTGTCTACAAATAGACAAACACAAATGCTTTGGTGTTTACAATTACAAACACCCCAAGTCTAGAACTTAAAAGTGGCAGTACTTTTTTTGGGACTTCTTCAGTTAACAGTTACTTTACACAGTGCTAAACTTTTTACTCTTAATTACATTTTTGGATGATATTTATATCCCATTGTCCTAGAACACTGTGATCAAACTATTTTTTTTTTTTTTTGAGACGGAGTTTTGTTCTTGTTGTCCAGGCTGGACTGCAATGGCACGATCTTGGCTCACTGCAATCTCTCCCTCCCGGGTTCAAGGGATTCTCCTGCCAAGTAGCTGGGATTACAGGTGCCCACCACCACACCTCGCTAATTTTTGTATTTTTAGTAGAGACTGGGTTTCACCATGTTGGCCAGGCTGGTCTCGAACTCCCGACCTCAGGTAATCCGCCCACCTCAGCCTCCCAGTGTTGGGATTTTGGACGTCAGCCACTGCACCTGGCTGATCTAATTATTTTAATAATAGTTTAATAGAAATGTCAGAAAAAGGAATTTCTGGAAATAAACAGGTTTTATAAAGGTTTTTTCTGTAGATTACAATTATATTTGTCTCAAGTATTTAATTAATTTGGAGGAAGAAATAAAAGTCATAAGCAGTCAACATATCTATGAGATATAAGGAGCATCCCCTATGTTTCTTTATTATTTTATTTTTTGAGACAGAGTCTCGCTCTGTTGCCTAGGCTGGAGTGCAATGGCACGATCTTGGCTCACTGCAACCTCCACCTCCTGGGTTCCAGTGATTTTCCTGCTTCAGCCTCCCAGGTAGCTGGGATTACAGGCATGAGCCACCACGCCCAGCTAATTTTTGTATTTTTGGTAGAGACGGAGTTCCACCATGTTGGCCAGGCTGGTCGAGAACTCCCGACCTTAGGTGATCCACTCGCCTGGGCCTCCCAAAGTGCTGGGATTACAGGCATGAGCCACTGCGCCCAGCCTTCCCTACTTTTCTGATACCTAATGACCTTAGCTAACAAGGAAGCCACACCTTGAAAAGCAATTTTGAAATCTCTGTGAGAGTAGATTAAATCTTGGAGATAGACAATGACATACGTGTATCTGTTTACCAGGTAGAAGGGCAGAAAAATAAATAAGGACAATTTTCTCCTACAGAGTAAAACACTTCATCAGTAGATAAGATTGAAGATCATATAAAGGTGTTTTACTGATTACTAATGCACAGATTAAAACGGTAAGCCATCTTAATTTTTTAAAAATTTGCCAATTATCATACTTCATTTTAAAAAAAATCTGAGGACAGAAACTTGATTATTGATTATTTAACATATTTTGAAGTAACATAGAATGAAAATTGGTTACCTAATCAAGTAGCAACAGAAGAGTAAACTAAGGATGAAGACAAATATAGCAGTACCAAAAACCACAATATATATGTTGAGAGGCAGATTCTGGAATCCAATATTAGGCATCCTGAAGTTGTAATGTGGGAAATCCGAGCTCATGGATGAACTGTGGGGGAAGAAAAGAATGGAAAAAAAATAGGTAAAGACTAAGAACCAAGACAGCATTATCATTGTGCACGTATAGAGGCACAATGACCTCATCTGAAACAAATATGGTAGACAAAGTGTTAATATTCTTGCCATTCATTCATTCATTCACCATGCCAAATATTTACTGAGTATTATGTACCTGGCACTATTTCAGAGACTGGAGATCCAATATAAAAAGCTTTGCAAGTTGCATTTATTCACTAAAAGGCATTTCACTAAAATAATGCCAGTAATTAATAAACATGAAAATGTTCAACCTCAGAGAAGTGCAAAAAGAAAAAAAGTTTTAAGATTCTTCAAACTCTTTAGCCTTTAACCTAATAACTCAACCCTTGAAGTAACAATATTTATAATGGTAAAATATTAGAAATAACTGAGATATCTCACAAGGAAATATGATTAATTATATAGTCATATGTTATAGTATTAAAGGGTCATGAAAACATTTTCAAGTAATTTTTTTTTTCTTTTGAGACAGGGTCTCATTCTGTCACCCCAGGCTGGAGTGCAATGGTGTGATCTCAGCTCTCTGCAGTCTTAATCTCCCGGGCTCAAGCAATTCTTCCACTTCAGCCTCCCAAATAGCTAGGACTACAGGCGCGTGCCACCACACCTAGCTAATTTTTAAAAATTTTTTTGTAGAGATAGCATGTTGCCTAGGCTGGTCTTGAACTCGTGGGCTCAAGCAATCATCCCTACTTGGCCTCCCAAAGTGCTGGTATTATAGGCATGAGCCACTGTGCCCGGCCAATTTCTCCCCATTCTATACACAAGGAAACTGAAGCTTAGACAGTTCTGGTCCCATGGCCATGACTGACCCGGTATGTACACAGCCAGAGCCTCTCCAACTCCAAACTCAGCAGTCTCAGTCCATATGCTCCACTGCCTTGCTCATGTGTTACTTTTATAATCAGAAACAGTAAGTGTTGTTTAAACATTAAAAAAAAGGACTATTTCTGTCAGTTTGTTTGAGAATACTTACTGATTACTACAGTTAAAATTCCACAGATAAAGGATGCCTCTCCTGTAAGTGATAAGCTGTAGTTTGTCATTTTGATTCCTTACAAAATAAAGAGTTCCTGCCAGGCCTGCTTATTAAGACCAAAGATTGACAATGGAATTATAACTATGAATACTACAAATCCAAACCCAAACAAAACTCTACCAAGCAAAGAAAACTTCTACTTTTATTTATGCATGGTAAATTAAAAATGTGTTCACAGATTTTTAGTTTTCTTGTAGGTTCCCAGAAGAGTATATTTATACTGTTGACACCACTGAGATGCTAACTGGCTGTATCTGAAATCTAAATCTTATGATTAGTTTCCAGTCTCTAGTAACATATATCAGGAAGTCAGTACCTGCAAAGAACAACTTCATCCCATGTAAATTCTTCTCTGACAGCTTCCAAACATAAATAATGGGTAATATTTAATTTTGAACCTTTGGCCATTTTCTGGGTTGGCTCAGTTAGAGCAAGTGCTTTTACTCAAATACATATTTAATTTCCTTTTTCCTACATTCAGATCTTCTTACGAAGGGAAGGAAGGATGTAGTTAAGGAGTGCTTTACCAAATATACATAGCACATACGCTGTGGAGCTATTAGAAAATTACAGGGCACAAAACTCAGCTCTTAACTTTCATATTGCTGACAGGGCCTCACTTGATGACCCTTGTTATAGCCAAGACTTAGATGGCTGTCCTTTAATCCCTTAGAAATATCCCTCCCCAGACAAGACTGGCTTGGTAAAATATCTCTCACCTTAGAAAATAAGGGATTAGGCCAGGTGCAGTGGCTCACACCTGTAATCCCAGCACTTTGGGAGGCTGAGGTGGGTGGATCACCTGAGGTTAGGAGTTCGAGACCAGCCTGGCCAACATGGCGACAATGTGTCTCTACTAAAGATGCAAAAATTAACTGGGCGTGGTGGCACACACTTGTAATCCCAGCTACTCAGGAGGCTAATGCAGGGGAATCGCTCAAACCAGGGAGGTGGTTGGTTGCAGTGAGCCAAGATTGCTCCACTGCACTCTACCTGGGTGACAGAGCGAGATTCCATCTCAAAAAAAAAAAAAAAAAAAAAAAAAAGAAGAAAATAAGAGAATAAACATCTGTACTGGGCAAGCTAAGAGGAAATAGGCAAGTGACAGAAAGTGGTATGGTAGAAAGACGGAGAGGTTTGCAGTCAGCAAAGCTGGATGCTTGCTCCCAGGATGTCACTAGCTAAATGTCAGAGCTTGGCCCATCTATACTTCAATTTTCTCATCTTTCAAATGGGATAATGGGATATTCAAATGGGATAATCTAACAACTTTAAGGAATTCCTGAAAGGATAAAATGAGATAGCAGATAATGAAGTGTCTGAAAACTCAAAGAGGACAAAACTATTAAGGCTTTAGTGTGTGTGTGTGTGTGTGTGTGTGTGTGTGTGTGTGTTTGGGGAAAGGGAATGACATTAAATGAAAGTAGTAAATACCATAAAGGAAGCCTTGACAAAAATCATGTCTCTGGAGAGGATTCCACCAAACCAAGTGCCCCTTCCACAGGGAGCTCTTCTGCATGCACTGACAGCTTTCTGTCAGGTGGCCTGCCAACCTGGCCTCCAGATGCAGGAACTAGAAACCATGTCTGGCCAAAGGCAGCCATTAATACAGGCTAGCTAGGAGTGAGGCCAGTGGTGTGGGAATGTTGCCCTGCAGAGTTCTTGAAATTGGTACAATTCTTGTAGCATTCTGTACAAAGACTCAGACACACACAGCAGTAGAGGTAGTAGCACTGTCATCAGAGGGAAGAGACATCTGCCTTAGTGCTGCTGGGGGCTGGATGTTGAGACTTTTGTGAGTCCTCACTACCTGGCAGGGCCTTTTAATAAATCCCAATTACCAGAGGGATCCAGGCTGGTAGAAGATATGTTGATGCGAATATATTTTAGGAATTTTTCTCTCTTTGTTTTAGTAAATAAAATGGCTTCACTACAATTGATATGTTGGCCCAACAATTTTAAGTAGATGGTAGAGTATTCCAAGATGTTAATCCTGATCCAGTGACACATTAGTTTTTACAAAATTTTTATCATAATGTATTTTCACCAGAAGTATTAATCTTTTAAAATAAATTGATAAAAGGCTACATATCATCTTAGTAATATGCATTCTTTGCTATTGAAGTCTTACAAATATAAGTTATTTAGTAATTGCTCCTTGTGGGAGTGAAGAGGAGAAATAGAACATACAGTACACTGTTGTAGCTTACTTGGCATTTCCAACTTCATTCACGTGAAAGCCTTTTTTTCCCCTTATGTAAATTCAGTTCTTGAAATCTCTAGCCTCAGCCTAAATTTCAAACCACCCAGTCAGTTTATTAAAATCAAACCAAAACAAAAAAAAAAGACAAGAAGATTTGAGTATTTTATCAGCAATCTTAGAACCAAGAAGTTCTAAGAGGGACAGATTACTTGAGATTTGGATGCCTACATGACCTGAGTTTAACACAATACACCACAGCTAAATGGGGCTGCAGTAGCATTCCTCAAAGCATGCTTGGTAGCCACATTCTTCTTAGACCAGTTCCTGTTCCCTGGACAATACCATATCATCTTCCCAGGAGTCAATATTCTAGTTTTGCTTCAAAAATGCTCAGAAGTGCCGGGTGCAGTGGCTCATGCCTGTAATCCCAGCACTTTGGGAGGCTGAGGCGGGCAGATCACGAGGTCAGGAGATCGAGACCATCTTGGCCAATATGGTGAAACTCTGTCTCTATAAAAATACAAAAATTAGCTGAGCGTGGTGACGCATGCCTGTAATCCCAGCTACTCGGGAGGCTGAGGCAGGAGAATCCCTTGAACCATGGAGTCGGAAGTTGCAGTGAGCCGAGATTGCGCCACTGCACTCCAGCCTGGCAACAAAAAAAAAAAAAAAAAAAAAAGAAAGAAAGAATAAAAAATGTAACAGGTGGCTGGGTGCGGTGGCTCACGCCTGTAATCCCAGCACTTTGGGAGGCCCAGGTGGGCAGATCACGAGGTCAGGAGTTCGAGACCTGCCTGGCTAATGTGGTGAAACCCCGTCTCTACTAAAAAATACAAAAATTAGATGGGCCTGGTGGCGTGCGCCTGTAATCCCAGCTTCTCAGGAAGCTGAGGCAGATTAGCTTCAACCTGGGAGGCAGAGGTTGCAGTGAGCTGAGATCGCACCATTGCACTCCAGCCTGGGACAGAGCAAGACTCCATCTCAAAGGAAAAAAAAAATGCTCAGAAAGGGGCTGGGTGCAGTGGTACATGCCTGTAACCCCAGTACTTTGGGAGGCTGAGGTGGGAGGACTGCTCGAGGCCAGGGATTTGAGACCAGCCTGGGAGACACAGGGAGACCCCACCTGTACAAATAAAAATAAAAATTAAAAAATTAGTTGGGCATGGTGGCATGTGCTTGTAGTACTAGTTACTCTGGAGGCTAAGATGGGAGGATCACTTGAGCCCAGGAATTCAAGGTTACAGTGAGCTATGATATCACTGCTACGCTCCAGCCTGGGTGACAAAGCAAGACTATCTCTAAAAGAGAAAGCTTTTGACATATTAGAAGGAACTAACTTCTTTGTTATTTATTGAGTATCTTTATGACCACATGAAACACCTTCTGCAAAATCTTTTCTTGAGTGGGTGGATGAGAGGAAAGATTAAAAATTTTAAAAACATGTCACTGATCAGTAGAAAGACCTAAGCTTTCTGATGAAATGGATACACTGGGTTCTAGAGAGAATTATTTTAAAAATAAGACCTATATTTGGACAGATCCTAGTAAAATTTCTGAATTCTAGGATAGAAAAACTGTGATAAGTTTCCAAAAAAAAAAAGTTGTTATAATGGAAAGCATATAGATTTGAGATTTATCCTAGGCCATGAGTATTAGAGTGGGCTTATGGAGTCAGAGAGCCAGGGGTTTAACCACGGATTTGTCAGTAATTTGGGGCTTGTTTCTTATCTTTTCTATGTCTCGGTTTCCTCATCTGATAAGACAGAATAATACTAGTAACTATTTCATAAAGTTTTAAGGGAATTAAATGACTCAACACACGAAAAGCACTTAAAGCACTTAGAACAGTACCTGGGCACATACTGTGTACTTGAGAAATGTTAGTTTTCATTATTAACTAAAATGCAACAATAAAAGATAATGGAATCACTGTCTGTATCTCCATTAAAAGACAGTCAGGTAGACTTCTGACTCCAGAAAGATGGCATAGACATACATTTCCCTATTTATCCAGCTAAATATAACTAAAAACCATGGACATTAAGTTGGACAGAAGGTAGCACACTAACTAGGGACCTGGGGACCCAAGGAACCACATGTTAACGAGTTCTCTGGGCTTTGTTTTTGTCTCCTATATCCCAGACTTAGAGCTGGCAAAGTTGGCAAACAAGAATGTCAACAGGTGAAGACAAAAAAAAAAAAAAGCCCTAATGAACGTGTTCTCTCTAGCCAAAGGATGACAAAAGGAGTAGTTAACAAGACTGAAAGCTTTTAAACAAGAATTGCCCTACTTCAGCTAAACAACCCAGAAAAAACTATGGCCACACCCCTATAGACATGCCAGCAAAGGCTGAAGGCAGAGCCTAGATTTTCACTCTTGCCAGGATGTAACGAGATGCCCCCCAGCCATCTTGCTGGGATAGTGTTAGAAAAGGCCAAGTAGGAAGCTGAAATCTGTTTTTTTTTTTTTTTTGAGATGGCGTCTTGCTCTGTCACCAGGCTGGAGTGCAGTGGTGTGATCTTGGCTCACTGCAACCTCCGCCTTCCAGGTTCAAGCGATTGTCCTGCCTCAGCCTCCCGAGTAGCTGGGACTACAGGCGCCCACCACCATGCCCAGCTAATTTTTGTATTTTTAGTAGAGACAGAGTTTCACCATGTTGGCCAGCTGGAATTTTTACACAACATGGTGAAAATGAGGCTCCACCTCAGTGATATCAGTAGAGACTACATGTGGACCCTGACTTCTACCCCTATCCAGCAGTAACAAAGTGACTATACTCCTCCTCAATGGGGTGATGACAGAGGAGGATCTCGTGAAGAATCGGGATTTTACCACCACCAAGTGGCAACAAGCACTCCTACCTTTTCCAGCCAAAGAGGTATCAGTGAAAGCCTAGTTGAGAGCTGGAACTCCCATTCCTGCCCCGTCCCCGCCCCCCATGTCAATAAAGGCTAAATAGGGAACCTGGACTTCTACCTTTACCTGGCATTAATGAAGCAGCATTACAACCCACCGTTTCACTGTCAGAGTGCTGTCAAAGGAAGCCAGTTAACACATCAGGTTTAAAAAAAATCCAGAGTCTCATAACATAATACACAAAATGTCCAGGTTTCAACTAAAAATTACTCATCGTACCAAGACTAGGAAGATCACAAATCAAATGAGAAATGATAATTAACAGATGCTAATGTCAATGACAAAAATGTTAAAATTATCTGACAAAGATTTTAAAGTAGCCGTCATCAAATTGTTTAAGCAAGCATTTATGAACATGCTTGAAACAAGTGAAAACACTGAAATTCTCAGCAAAGAAACAGAAGATATAAAGAGGAACAAAATGGAAATTATAGAACTGAAAAACACAATAATTGAAATAAAAAAACTAAAACTAAGCGATGGGCTCAACAGCAGAATGGAGAAGAAAGGGGAAAGCATAAGTGAACTAGGGCCAGGCACGGTGACTCACACCTGTAATCCCAGCACTTTGGGAGGCCAAGGTGGATGGATCTCTTCAGGTCAGGAGTTCGAGACAAGCCTGGCAAACATGGTGAAACCCTGTCTCTACTAAAAATACAAAAATTATCCAGGCATGGTGGTGGGCACCTGTAATCCCAGCTACTCGGCAAGCTGAGGAATCTGTACATAAGTGTACAGATTTAAGAAGCTGAACAAACTCCAAAGAGAATAAACCCAAAGAAATCTACAACAAGACACATCGTAGTCAAACTTCTGAAAACTAAAACAACAACAACAAAATCTTTTTTTTTCTTTGCAGAGGTAATTGAGTTAAAACAACACTAAAAAATCTTGAAAGCAACTAAGGAGATACCATTGGGGGAAATAATATGAAAGACACAGATTTCTCATCAGAAACAATGGAGGCCAAAAGGAAGGAACACATTTTTCAAGTGCTGAAAGAAAAGAGCCATCAACCCAAAATCCTACATCCAGCAAAAATACCCTTCAGGAATGAAACAGGAAATCAAGACAGCCTCACATGAAGGAAAACAACGGGAATTTATTGCTAGCAGACCTACTCTTGAAGAGTGACTAAAGGAAGCTGTCTTAACAGAAGGGAAATGATAAGAAAAGGAACCTTGGAACATCAAGAAGGAAGAAACAACATGGTAAACAAATATAAGGGTAAATACAATAAACTTCCTTCTCTTGAGTTTTCTAAATTATATTCAGTGGTTGAAGAAAAATTATAATTGTCCAACCCGGTTCTAAATGTATTCAGAGGAAATATTTAAGATGAGCATATTAAAAATAAGGGAGGATAAAGGGACATAAAAGGAGGTAACATTTCTAGTCTGAACTGGTAAAGTATACTAGTAGACTGCATATATAATACAATGCCTACAGCAATCAGTAAGAAAACTATACAAAGACATACACTCAAAACACTACAAAAAATCAAAAAGGACTTCAAAAAATTACTCAAGTAACAGAAACAAAAATAGTGAAAACAAATAGAAAACAAAGTTTAAAATGGCAAGCTTAAGTATAAATGATTTAAATATGCCAATTAAAACACAGAGACTGGCAGAATGAATTAAAAAACATCACCCAATAATATGCTGTCTACCTGAAACTCACTTTAAAAATAATGATACATGCATGTTGAAAAGGATGGAAAAAGATATGTAATGCAAGCATTAATCAAAAGAAAGCAGGAGTGGCTATATTAACATCAAAGCAGATTTCACAGAAAATAAAATTACCAGAGAGAGAAAGAAACATTACCTAATGATAAAATGGTCAACCCACTAAAAATACATAGCAATCCTAAATGTGCATGCACAAAACAACAGAGCTGCAAAACATGTGAAGGAAAAACTGACTGAACTGAAAGGAGATATAAAGAAATCTATAATTATACTCAAATACTTCAAAACCTTCTCCCAACAGCTGATGAAACAACTAGATAGAAAACCAGCAAGGATAAAGAAAAATTCAACAACACAATTAGACAACAGGATCTACTCAAAATATATAGAGCACTCTACCTAGCAACAGCAAAATATACATTCTTTTCAAATACCCATGGCACCTACACCAGGACAGACCACATTCCTGGTCATAAAACAAATCTCAAACAACCTTTCAAAAATCGAAGTCATATAGAGTGTGTTACTGGACATAGTTGAATCAAACTAGACATTTATAACAGAAGGGTAGCAAGAAAATATCCAAACACTTAGAAACTAATCAACACACTACTAAATAATCTATAAGTCAAAAAGAGGTCTTAAAAGAAATTTTTAAAAATACACTGAATTGATTGAAAATGAAAATACAGGCTGGGTGTGGTGGCTAACGCTTATAATCCCAGCACTGTGGAGGGCCGAGGCGGGCAGATCACCTGAGGTCAGGAGTTCAAGACCAGACTGGCCAACATGGTGAAACCCCATCTCTACTAAAAATACAAAAAAATTAGTCGGGCGTGGTGGCACGCACCTGTAGTCCCAGTTACTCAAGAGGCTAAGGCACGAGGATCGCTTGAATCCTGGCGGCGGAGATTGCAGTGAGCCGAGATCGCGCCACTGCACTCCAACGTGGGCGACAGAGTGAGACTCCGTCTCAGTTTAAAAAAAAAAAAGGGCTGGACGGGATGGCTCACGCCTGTAATCTCAGCACTTTGGGAGGCCGAGGCGGGTGGATCACATGAGGTTAGGAGTTTGAGACCAGCCTAGCCAACTAGGTAAAACCCCGTCTCTACTAAAAACACAAAAATTAGCTGGGTGTGGTGGCAGGTGCCTGTAATCCCAGCTACTCGGGAGGCTGAGGCAGGAGAATTGACTGAACCCGGGAGGTGGAGGTTGCAGTGAGCTGAGATTGTGCCACTGCACTCCAGCCTGGGTGACACACGCGAAACGCCATCTCAAAATAAAAAAAAAAGAAAATGAAAATACAACATATCAAAATTTGAGAGACATAGGTAAAGTAGTGCTGAGTGGGCAATTCATGGTACTAAACGCACACATAAGAAAATAAAAAATCTCAAATCAATAATCTAAACTCCTACATCAAGAACCCAGAAAAAGGGCAAGTTAAAAATTAAAGAACAGAAACCAGTTAAATTGAGAATAGGAAAACAATAGAGAAAAATCAATGAAACAAAAAGCTGAGTCTTTTCTTTGAAATGATCAGTAACACTGACAAATCTCTAGGAAGAATGACAAAAAAAAAAAAAAAAAAAAAAAAAGAGAAGACACAAATTACCTATATCAACAATTAAATAGGAGAGATCACTACAGACACTGCAGACATCAAAAGGATAAGAAGGGTATACACACATATACAGACATAAATTTAGTAACATAAATAAAACAGACCAATTCCTCAAAAAACACAAACTACAAAAACTCACCCAATATAAAATAGATAATGTGAACAGTTTTATAACTATCAAAGAAACTGAATTAGTCATTTAAAAATTCACAAAAAAGAAAGCTCCAGGCCAAGAGGCTTTTACCAGAGAATTCTACCAAAAGTTTAAATAAGAATGAGCACAAATCCTTGACAATCTTTTGCAGAGAATGGGAGGGAACATTTCTCAAGGCATTTTTTGAAGCCAATGCGACCTTGATAGCAAAACCAGATAAAGACAGTGTCTGGCAAATACAGACAGAAAAATTCTTAACAAAATATTAGCAAGTAGAATTTGGCAATATGTAAATAGAATTTTACAACACCATGACCAAGTAAGGTTTATTCAAGAGATGCGGGGCTGGCTTAATATTAAAAAAAAAAAAAATCAATGTAATCTATCCATATTAAATGGCTAAAGAAGAAAAATCACATGATCATATTAACTGATTTAAAAAAAACACATTTCACAAACATCAGCACCCAGAAATTAAAAAACTCCCAGAAATAGAAATGGAAGAGAACTTCTTCAACATGTTAAAAAGCATCTACAAAAAACAAACCGGCAAAAACCAACCAAACAATAACAACAAAAACTGTACAGCTAATATTATTCTTAATTGTGAAAGACTGAATACTTACCCCCCTAAGACCGGGAACAAGGCAGGATATCTGCTCTCACCACTCTTATTCAACATAGTGCTGGAAGTTCTAGCCAGTGCAATAAGGTAGAAAAGGGAATAAAAGGCATACACATCAGAAAGGAAGAAATTAAACTGAGCCTATTTGCCACATCAACATCTACAACAACAAAATCCCAAAGAATCTTCAAAAAAATTTCTAAAACTAATAAATGAGTTCAGCAAGGTTGCAGGATACCAGATATACATATAAAAATCAACTGTGTTTTTATAAATTAGCAATGAACATAGGAACACTGAAATTATAAATACAATGACATTTACAATTGTTCAAAAAAAGAAATACAAAGAATTAAATTTAATAAGACATTAGATATGTACAGGACTTATATGCTAAAAATGACAAAATGATGATTAGAGGAATCAAGTAAAATCTAAATAAATGCAGAGACATACTATGTTCATGGATTTGAAGACTCAGCATAGGAAAGATATTCTCTCCAAATTGATATATAGGTTTAACATAATTCCTATAAAAATCCCAGCAAATTTTTTTTTTGTAGATATAGACAAGTTTAACAAATGTAGACAGAAAGAAAGACAAGGAAATAAAACAGCTAAAGCAATTTTGAAAAAAGAAGACTAAAGGGAGAGGAATCAGTCTATTCAATGTAAGGACTCATCATAGCCTAATCAAGACACTGATTGGTTTTAGCAAAAGGATAGACACATAAGTCAATGGAACAAAATGAAGAACCCAGAAATAGACCCACACAAATAAGCATAAATGATTTTTGAGAAATGTGCAATCCTTTCTCAATGGAGAGAGTATATGGTCTTTTCAACAATTAGTGCTGGACCAATGGGACATCCATAGGCAAAAAAATTGAATCTTGATCTTAACCTCACACACAAAAAAACAACTCAAAGTGGATCATGAACTTAAACTTAAAATGCAGAACAATGATACAGTTACAAAAAACCTAAGAGAAGATATTTGGGATCTAGGATTAGGTAAAAAGCTCCAGACTTGACACCAAAAGCAAGGAGTATAAAAGGAAAAATTGATACACTGGACTTCATTGAAATGAAATGTTTTTTTTGCTTTGAAAAACTGTCAAGAGGATGAAGAAAGAAGCTAAAGACTAGGAAAAAAATATTTGCAAACCGTATGCCTGATAAAGGGCTAATATCTAAACACAAAATTCAATAGTAAAAAAACAACCAGTTATGGGTTGAATTGTGTTCTCAAAAAGATATGGTGAAGATATAACTCCCAGTACCTCTGAATGTGACTTTATTTGAAAATAGGTTTGTTGAAGATGTAATTAATTCAGATGTAATTAAGAAGTTAAAGTTATACTAGAGTAATCCAATATGACTGGTGTCTTTATAAGAGGAAAAGAGACACACAGAGAGAGATACAGGAGGAGAGAATGCTGAGTGATATAAGAAGCAGAGACTGAAGGATTGCTGGCTGTCATCAGAAGAGAGGCATGAACAAATCCTTTCTCAGAGCCCTCAGAAGGAACAACCTTGCTATTTTTTTTTTTGCAAGTGATTCTCCTGCCTCAGCCTCCCTAGTAGCTGGGACTATAGGAGTGCACCACCATGCTCTGTTCATCTTTGCATTTTTAGTAGAGATGGGGTTTCACCGTGTTGGTCAGGCTGGTCTTGAACTCCTGGACTCAAGTGATCTGCCCACCTTGGCTTCCCAAAGTGTTGGGATTACATGTGTGAGCCACTATGCCTGGCCACCAACATCTTGATTTCAGACTTCTAAACCCCAGAATTGTGAGACAATAGATTTTCTGTTGTTTTAAGGCACCCAGTTTATGGCACGTTGTTAAGGCAGCCCTAGGAAACAATTCAATTAGAAAATGGGCAAAAGAGATATTTCACCAAAGGGAATATACAGATGGTAAATAAGTACATAAACGTATGTTCAAAATCATTAGCTATTAGGGAAATAGAAATTAAAGCCACAATGAGAAATTACTAAATTAAACCTATCAGAATTGCTAAAATAAAAAATTGTAACAACACCAAATGCTGGCAAGAATGCAGAGAAACTAGAGCACTTTATCTTGTTGGTGGGAATATAATATGGTATAGCCACTCTGGAAAATAGTTTGTCAGTTTCTTGTAAAATTAAACATGCAACTGCCATACAACTCAGCAGTTGCACTCCTGGGCATTTATTCCAGGGAAATGAAAACCTATGTTCACATACAAACCTCAACACAAATGTTCATAGCAGCTTTATCTGTAATGGTCTAAAATTAGAAACAACCCAAATATCATTCAATGGGTGAACGATTAAACAAACTTGAGGTATGCACATCGTCAAATGCCACTCAGCAATAAAAAGAAACAAACTATTGATAGATGCAATAATCAGAGTCACTTTCCAGATAATTATGGTGAATGAAAAAAGCCAATCCCAGGTTACATACTGTATAAGTACACTTATCTTGATGTACTGTAAGAAATCCCTGATGTGATGGAAACCTTCTGTATGTTGACTGTATCAAAGTTAATATCCTGGTTATGATATTATACTATAGTTTTACAAGATGTTATCATTACAGGAAATTGTGAAAAGAGTACATAGGATCTTTCTGTACTGTTTATTGTAGCTGCATGTGAGTCTATAATTAAAATAAAAATTTTAATTAAAAAATATACAATGGAGCAACATCTATACAGGTCTGATGGAAAAGAACTGTGATATTAGAACTGTATATCCAGCCAAACTATCTTTCATTTGTATAGAAAAAAAAGAAAGAAGGAAAAAGACATTTTCAGACATTCAAGTACATTTCTTTCTCTTTATATAGGTACGTAATCATTCCACTAATTAAAATCCCCCATAGTAATCTAGATTAAGGCTTCAGGTTATTTCAGCAAAGCATGGAAGATGGAACGGGGAGAAGAAAGTTAAGTTGTGCTAATAGTTTTATTTTGAAAAGCTATAACTACTTAATTTAAAAAGTTGTTACAGAAGTATAAGTCTAAATACGTGTTTTAAAATGTAGGGAGCCACAAACAGTATGTATAATTTTCATGACTAGCAGAGAGGAAAAAGCAGCAAAGAAACCTGGATAATTTCAGCAAAATATAGGGTAAAAAGGGGAAGAAGGGGGGTCATAAGAAAGCAAATTATAGAAATATAAAATAAAATGGTAGGAACAAAACGAAAAATAAATCATGAGAAAAATAAATGGTTTAAATCCTATTTAAAAAGGCTCTAGGCCAGGCATGGTGGCTCACGCCTGTAATCCCAGGACTTTGGGAGGCCGAGGCGGGCGGATCACGAGGTCAGGAGATCGAGACCATCCTGGCTAACACGGTGAAACCCCGTGTCTACTAAAAATACAAAAAATTAGCCGGATGTGGTGGTGGGCGCCTGTAGTCCTAGCCACTCGGGAGGCTGAGGCAGGAGAATGGCATGAACCCAGAGGCAGAGCTTGCAGCGAGCAGAGATTGCGCCACTGCACTCCAGCCTGGGCGACACAGCGAGACTCCGTCTCAAAAAAAAAAAAAAAAAAGGGCTCTAGCTTCCACGATTTGGCACACACACAAAAAACCCCAGAAAGACTCTAGGATGAGGAGAAGCTGGTTAACACGTACAAAAATACAGTTAGACACAAAGAATAAGTTCTAGTATTTTACAGTGCAATAGGGAAACTGTAGTTAATACTTTGTTGTATTCCAAACACTACGAAATGAAGAAAACTAATTTTTTTTTTTTTTTGAGATGGAGTCTCACTCTCTCGCCCAGGCTAGAGTGCAGTGGCGTGATCTCGGCTCACTGCAACCTCAGCATCCTGAGTAGCTGGGATTACAGGTGTGTGCCACCATACCCGGCTAATTTTTGTATTTTTAGTAGAGACGGGGTTTCGCCCTGTTGGCCAGGCCGGTCTTGAAGTCCTGACATTGTGATCCGCCCACCTTGGCCTCCCAAAGTGCTGGAATTACAGACATGAGCCACCACGCCCAGCCAAGAAAACTAAATTTTAAAAGTAAAAAAAAATTAATGTATATTTCAAAATAGCTAGAAGAGAAGAATTTGCAATATTCCCAACAGAGAAAAATATTTGAGCTGATATCTCAATTACCATGATTTAATCATTATACATTGTACACATATACCAAAATATCATGTGCCCCCAAAATATGTACAGCTATGCTTTAATCAAAAAAGACTCTAAAATTATATAAGAACAATATTCAGCTTTATTATAAGAAAACACTTTAAATGATTCTAAGATATTTTTAAATGCGGGATGCAATAAGAAAATAAACAAAAATATAGCAGGCAAGTATAAGAAAGCAAGCAGGAGTGCTAATTATTTTTAAAAAAAGTAGAAATAAAGGCTAAAAAGCTATATGAACAATGATGTTTTATAGTGATAGAAATATTAATCTCCAAATGAGATATAACAAAAAAGAGGACATAAACAATACCATTAACAAATAATATATATATTGGCTGGGTGTGGTGGCTCATGCCTGTAATCCCAGCACTTTGGGAGGCCGAGGTGGGTGGATCACCTGAGGTCAGGAGTTCAAGATCAGTCTGGCCAACATGGTGAAACCCCATCTCTACTAAAAATACAAACATTAGCCAGGCGCGGTGGCGTGCGCCTGTAATCCCAGCTGAGGCAGGAGAAACGGTTAAACTCGGAAGGCGGAGGGTGCAGTGAGCCAAGATCGCGCCACTGCACTCAAGCCTAGGCAAAAGAGTGAGACTCTGTCAAAAAAAAAAAAAAACCCAAAACAAATAATATATATATATTATATATCTACGTATCTATACTGTGTGTGCGTGTGTGTGTATAACTTTGTGTCTTAACAAAGAAAACACCTTTTCATATGAATCTGGAACATCTACATTTAGATAAACTATTTATCATGCTATAGGAAGATTCCACAGAACAGAACTCTTAGAGGCCACAATACGTGACTACAATGTGTAAAATTAACTCAACAATAAAAAGATAAACAAAAGGAAACTACTTATAAATTCAAAAAATAATCTTTAAAATGACTTCAGGCCAGGTGTGGTGGCTCACAGCTGTAATCTCAGCACAGCACTTTGGGAGGCCAAGGTGGGTGGATCACCTGAGGTCAGGAGTTCAGACCAGCACGGCCAACATGGTGAAACCCCGTCTCTACTAAAAATACAAAAATTAGCCGGGTGTGGTGGTGGGTGCCTGTAATCTCAGCTACTCAGGAGGCTGAGGCAGGAGAATCCCTTGAACCCAGGAAGCAGAGGTTGCAGTGAGCAGAGATTACGCCATTGCACTCCAACCTAGGTGACAAGAGTGAAACTCCACCTCAAAAAAATAAATAAAATAAAATAAAATAAAATGACTTCTGTCTAGTAAGTAACTAAAACAAATCACAGACCATTTAGAAGTTAATCACATTGTGGGAAAAAAATCTCATACTGAGAGAAAAATCCATTACCTTCAACATGGGAAAAGTATTCTTACAGGCTACTGTGTAGGTGTATAAGTGTAACTGATCGTATTATCAATCTAAAAAAGAATAATGAAAATAAATGGACACAAGAATTCAATTCTGGAAAGTAGAAAAAGAACAAATCAAACAAAATAAGCCAGAAGAAGGAATTAATAAAGGTCAAACAAAAATGTATGAATTAAAACAAAACAATGAAAGGAATTGAAATCAACTAACCAAAACACTAAGAATGAGACAGATAAAAAAATTCTTATGCAGAGATTTAAAAACATCCATGAGATAATTTGAGTATTAATTTTAAATTCTAGAATAGATTTTATAGGAATATAACCAAAACTGGCTCAAGAAGAAAACTTGAAAATATAGAAATATCTTCACAAAAAAGGCTTCAGACCCCAATGGCAATGAAAGTGGAACTCGCTAAACTTGCATAGATAAGTAGTCTGCTATGTACAGTAGTCCCTGCTTATCGATGGTAGATATGTTCACAGACCCCCACTGGATGCCTGAAAACCCGGATAGCACCGAGTCCTACGTTTTTTTGAACTGATAACCAAGACCCTAATGGGCAGGTAGTGTACACAGCATGCAGACACTGGGCAGGGGATGATTCACGTCCTGGGTGAGATGCAGTGAGCACGACAGCTTGAGATTTCATTACACTACTCAGAATGGTGAATAATCGAAAACTTACAAATTGTTTTGGGAATTTTCCATTTAATATTTTCAGACTACAGTTGACCATGAGTAACTGAAACTGCAGAAAGCGAAACTGAAAATAAGGGCGAACTACTGTAAACTGATTCAGAGTATACAAAAAAATGATGGAAAGCATCCCAACTCATTTAAAGGTGTAAGCATAATCCTGAAACTAAAACCACAACTTTACAGCAGAGTTCATAAACTCAAGGCCTCTGGACTGAATCTGGCCTGAACAAGTATTTTGTTTGGCCTGTACAAAATTTTAAAGATTGAGATAATTTAGATTTGGGAGATTTAACATAAAATTAGCAATTTCCAGCTCTATACAGAAAAAGGTCAGATCTAATAACCCTGGGCTCCATTCTTACACGGCAAAAACAGCCTGGAGCTGAGTGGCCTCTGCTCCCAGGCTGCCATGTTGTTGCACAATTTGTGTGTGTGTGTTGGGGGGGGCAGGGGGAGGGGGCGGCCCTGAATGCTTATGGGTTACAGTGTAAGTGTGCCTGGCCCTATTGTCAACAGAATCGCCATTTGTCACCATTTCTACCACTCCTTATCACTTCCTAATTCTGGACCAGATGTAGGTTGCCACTTGTGCTTGGGCTGTTATTTTTCTCAACGTAAATATTTCTACCTCTATCAAAAAAAATAAAAGAAAAGAAATTGATGGTTTCATGATTTTGCCTTCTACCAAGTGTATTTGGCTGATTCAATTTCCTGCCTGGCTTCTGTTGGCACTGAGTTTGTGCCCCTGCTTTACGATTTCTATCTTTGGTTTCCCCACATCAGATGACAGAAATACCCACTTATATTCTCTTTTATTTGCATAGTTTTATGCCTTAAATTTAAATGTTTAATCCATCTTGAATTTATGGCATGGAAAAAAGACCTAAAATGGTTTTTCCAATTTAGTCAACTATTCCAACAGCATTTATAAAATTCTTTCTCCACTGTCTTAAAGTTCTACCTTTTTTGGAGTCACTTTTTTTCTTTTTTTTTTTTGAGACAGAGTCTCGCTCTGTCTCCAGGCTGGAGTGCAGTGGCACCATCTCGGCTGACTGCAACCTCCACCTCCCAGGTTCAATCAATACTCCTGCCTCAGCCTCCCGAGTAGCTGGGACTACAGGCATGCACCATCATGCCCAGCTAATTTTTTAATATTTTTACATACATACATTACATATGAATTAGCATACCACTAATTCATATATGCTAGGGCAATATTTTCAACACTACTCTTCCTCTTTAATATTTTCAAGGCTATTCTTACATAATCTTTTTTTCAGCTAAACCAGTCTTTAAAATATTCTATTGGGCCGGGCACACTAACTCACGCCTGTAATCCCAGCACTTGGGGAGGCAGAGATGGGCAGATCACTTGAGCTCAGGAGTTCAAGATCAGCCTGGACAACAGGTAAAACCCCGTCTCTACGAAAAATATAAAAATTAGCTGGGTATGGTGGTGCATGCCTATGGTCCCAGCGACTTAGTAGGGTGAGGTGGGAGGATCACCTGAGCCCAGGAGCAGTGAGCGCTAATCGCACCACTGCACTCCAGCCTGGGCAACAGGGTGAGACCTCGTCTCTCTCTCTCTCTCTCTCTCTCTCTCTCTCAATAAATAAATAAATAAATGCTATTGTGAAGTTAATTGAAAGTACATTAAATTTATAGCTTATTTTGGGGAGAATGGGTCTTGCTATGGTTTGAGTATCTGTCCCCTCCCAAACTCCTCTTGAAACCTAATAACAATTTTAACAGTATTAAGAGGTAGAGGGTTGGGCGCAGTGGCTCATGTCTGTAATCCCAGCACTTTGGGAGGCCGAGGCGGGCAGATCATGAGGTCAGGAGTTCGAAAGCAGCCTGGCCAACATGGTGAAACCCTGTCTCTACTAAAGATACAAAAAATTAGCCGGGCCTGGTGGTGCGTGCCTGTAATCCCAGCTACTCGGGAGGTTGAGGCAGGAGAATCGCCTGAACCCAGGAGGTGGAGGTTGCAGTGAGCCGAGATCGTGCCATTTTGCACTCTAGCCTAGGCAACAGGGTGAGACTCTGTCTCAAAAAAAAAAAAAAAAAAGAGGTGGGAGCCTGCTGCAGTGGCTCACACCTATAATCCCAGCACTTTGGGAGGCCAAGGTGGGAGGATCCCTTGAGCCCAAGAGTCCCTGACTAGCCTGGGCAACATAGGGAGACCCTGTCTCTACAAAATTAAAAAAATCAGTAGCCAGGTGTGGCGACACATGCCTGTGGTCCCAGCTACTTGGGATGTTGAGGTGGAAGGACTGCTTAGGCCCGGGAAGTCAAGGCTGCAATGAGCTGTGATTGTGCCAATGTATTCCATCCACCCTACATGACAGAGTGAGACCCTGTCTCTACAAACAAAGTGAGACCTTTAATAGGTGATTAGGCTATGAGGGATCTATCTTCATGAATGGATTAATGCCATTACCAAGGAAGTGGGTTCCTTATAAAAGGAAGAGTTCAGACCCCTTTTGTGTTTGTTTCTCTCTGTCTTTCCCCTTCTGCAATGTGATGCCCTCCACCATGTTATGATGCAGCAGGTACCTTGCCAGATGCCAGTATCTTGATCTTGAACTTCTTGGCTTCTAGAACTGTGAGAAACAAATTCCTGTTCATTATAAATTTCTCAGTCTGTAGTATTCTATTATGGCAGCACAAATGGACTAAGGGAGGTCTTTACATCCAGGCACGTGGTATGTCTTTTCATTTATTCTAGTTTTATTTTACTACTTTCAGTAGATTTGTATAGCTTATTCATACAGGTTTTGGACTTTTCTTTAGTTTATCCCTAGTTACCATATATATATTTGCCTATACGTATTATAAATGGGGTCTTTTTTCCTTTATATTTTTTAAACTGGTTATTTCTAGCATTTAAAAAAGCTACTTCTTTGTATATTTATTTTGCAGCCTAACCTAGAAAAAATTTTAGTGCAGGTGCAACTAACTGCCATATAAATAAATCTTAATAAAGCACCCACAGAATACCCAGCTTGGAGCAGTGAGCACTCCAAGAAAAACTAGCTGCAAAATATACACTAAGACAACTAAACACAGTGACTTTCTGTGTAATCTTTTTATTTATATATCACCTAAAATAATTATAAAAATACATATCAGCCAGGCGTCGTGGCTCACACCTGTAATCCCAGCACTTTGGGAGGCCGAGGCGGGCAGATCACCTGAGGTCAGATGTTTGAGACCAGCCTAGCCAACATGGTGAAACCCTATCTCTATTAAAAATACAAAAATTAGCTGGGCATGGTGATGTGCACCTGTAGTCCCAACTACTTGGGAGGCTGAGGCAGGAGAATCACTTGAACCCAGGAGGTGGAGGCTGCAGTGAGCCGAGATCGCGCCACTGCACTCCAGCCTGGGTGACAGAGTGAGACTTGGTCTCAAAAAAAAAAAAAAAAAAAAAAAAACAAGTGAAAAAGTCTGGGCACAGTGGCTCATGCCAGTAATCCCAGTGCTTTGGGAGGCTAGGGTAGGAGGACAACTTGAGCCTGGGAGTTTGAAACCAGGCTGAGCAATATAGCAATACCCAGGCAAGGTGGGGTACACCTGTAGTCCTAGCTACTCAGGAGGCTGAGGTGGGAAGACTGCTTGAGCCCAGGAATTGGAGTCTGCGGTGAGCTATGACCAGATCATACCACTGCACTCCAGTTTCGGTAACAGAGCTAGACCCTGTCTCTTAAAAAAAAAAAAGAAAAGAAAAGAAAGCTTTTGGCAAATTAGAAGTAATTCACTTCTTCATTGAGTACCTTTATGGCCTCTTGTGAGCTTCGGTTATCAAGATTTTCCCAGGACCTAGTCATCCCTGGCAAGGCTGCATTTCTGGATATTTGAGGACCAGACACTGTAATGCAGCACCTCCGGTGGATATCCTGCACTGAGAGGTTTTGAGCCTCAGCACCTAAGCTGGCCCTCCTGAATGATACCACTGCCTCACTTCCTTTAAGGTGCTCTAGTCTCTACAACTTATATTTCAAAGGTCTCCCTCTGTATTCCCAGTCTTTTATGATATTTTATAATCTGTAAACTTAATTATTTGAAATAGACATCAGGGTTCCACCAGGGAAAAAGAGATCAGGGTTCAAAAATCTTTTATCTTCAAAAGGCAGACAGCTAGGCAAGAAATGGCTGGTGTTCCGTAAACATTTTTCTAAGAGTATCTTCTCTCTATTGTTTGAGTTTAAAGTTTGAGGTTATCCTTATTTTTTATTCTTCAGAGGATAACTCTTCTTTCTTTCAAGCTTTTTTTTTTTCTTTCAAATCTCAGTATACACCAGAAGACTTCTTTCCAGTTTTAAGAAACTGACAAGTAGGTATTTGGGTATTTTGTCTTTAAGTACCAAATCTGGAAATAAGTAACTCCGAAACCTCTCAGTCTGTAGGCAAAAGTCTATTTTTCTACAGTAACTTCTTTAATGTTTCCTTTTCTGAGGCTTCCTCCGATTTACACTCCTTCCCATTATTTAAAGGGCAGTTGGGCGGGGGAACAACAACAACCACAACAACAACCACCTAGGTTTATTGGAATTGCCATAATCAATTTGTCTATTCCATCTATGTTTTAATCGGGATCTTTCCATTTAGCCTTAATTTTACTGACTACCTCATTATTTCGATTCCATTTTTTCATCAAAGGATGTTGTAATTTTAAAATATGTTTCATCGCAATGTTTTAGCTTTTTTTCATCTAATTCTAACCAGATGTATATATTTGTTTGAGAAAGGGTCTCACTATGTTGCCTTGGCTGGACTTGAACTCCTGAGCACCAGCAATCCTCCTGCTTCAGCCTCCAGAGTAGCTGGGCTTATAGATGTGTGGCACCATGCCTCACATTTAATCTACTTATTTTTTTTCCCTGATCAGTTCCTTTTAATAGCCTTTGTGTTTTTTATCCTTTCCAGCCCTGTTACTGACAATTCCAATTTCTTCACATTTTGGATTTTTTCTGTTTCTTCTGCTACCATTGTTTTCTCTGGGTTTGTGCACAGCTTTTCTCTTTGCTGCTGTTCCACAGTTCTAAAATCCAGCCTGAGGTGCTATCTTTGTTTACCGTAATTGAAGTTTGTCTACTTGAATATTTTTTAAAAATTCAGATGTTTGTTATTTTGGTGAGTCTATTTTTACTCTGCCATATTCCTAGTAATTTTTTTTTTTTTTTTTTTGGTGAGATGCAGTTTCGGTCTTGTTGCCCAGGCTGGAGTGCAATGGCACGATCTTGGCTCACCCCAACCTCAGCCTCCTGGGTTCAAGCGAATTCTCCTACCTCCGCCTCCTGGGTTCAAGCGAATTCTCCTACCTCCGCCTCCCGAGTAGCTGAGATTATTGACATGTGCCACCACGCCCGGCTAATTTTGTATTTTTAATAGAGATGGGGTTTCTCCTAGTAGAGGTCTGGTTTCTCCTTGAAGACAGTTTGAGGCTGGTCTTGAACTCCTGACCTCAGGCCTTGGCTTCCCAAAGTGCTGGGATTACAAGCGTGAGCCACCATGCCTGGCCATTTTCTCTATTTTTATGTAATGATGAAATCTATTTTCAATGTAAATCATTCTATTAGATCTTTATGAGACTTCACTTTGAGGGCAAAGAAGAATTTGACGTCTCATGTTCCCTTTGTTTTTTAACTGTTCTTTTCACAGGTATGGATTTAATTCTTTTCTTTCTTCCTTCCCTTTCCTCCTTCCTTCCTTTTCCTCCTTGCCTCCTTCCTCCCTTCCTCCCTCCCTCCTCACTCTGTCGCTTGGATTGGGTGCAGTAGTGCAATCATACCTCACTGCAGCCTCGACCTCCTGAGCTCAAGGGATCCTCCTGCCTCAGCTTCCCGAGTGGCTGGGACTACAGGCACATGTCACCATACTCAGCTATTTTTTGAATTTATTTTTTGTAGAGATGGGGTTTAACCATGTTGCCCAGGTTGGTCTTGAACTCCTGGCCTCAAGTGATCCCCCCTGCCTTGGCCTCCCAAAGTGTTGGGATCAGAGGCATGAGCCACCATGCCCAGCGCCTTTCTTCTTCTGTTTTTGTGCCTTAGATTCAGTAGAACTCAAATTCCCTCCTGACATCTATATCCCAGGCATGAGTGTGCATGCAGTATAATTTTTTTTTTTTTTTTGAGACAGAGTCTCACTTTGTCACCCAGGCTAGAGTGCAGTGGCACAATCTAGGCTCACTGCAGCCTTGGCCTCTCGGGTTCAAGCAAATTTTCCTGCCTTAGCCTCCCAAGTAGCTGGGACTACAGGCACGTGCCACCATGCCCAGCTAATTTTTTTGCATTTTTAGTAGAGATGGGGTTTCGCCATGTTAGCCAGGATGGTCTTGATCTCCTGATCTCGTGATCCGCCCACCTTGGCCTTTTTTTTCTTTTTTTTAAAAGAGGCAGAGTCTTGCTGCATCACCCAAGCTGGATTGCAGTAGCATGATCATAGCTCACTGCAGCCTCAAACTCCTAGGGTCAAGGGATCCTCTTACCCTGGCTTCCTAAAGCATTGGGATTACAGGCGTAAGCCACAACTCCCAGCCCTATACTTTTACAAAGAATCTGCTAATCAACATTTAACTATTGACTTCTACATGATTCATTGTTTTTTGATTAATTGATGGCAGCACTCTTAGGAATATGGGTTAGGGGGAAACAACACAGAGTGATGCAGAGACAGAAGGAGGATGAAATAGAAGACAAGTTATAAAGGAAGAAAATACTCTCAGGTTGAAATTTACATCATAATTACACAAAGGCAGTGTGAAAAGAAATACGAAGCAATGAGCGGTTCCCATCTCAACATGAAATAAACTCTAGGGGTAATACCATAACTACTTAATTTTAGAAAAAAGCTGATTTAGTTCCCAAGAAAACATGTTTTTTTCTGCTGTGAGGAAAATCAAAACGCAACAGGACAGCAATACCTCATTTTGGCACTCAAAACTATCCTCTAATTATCTGCAGATGTTTAATTTTAAATCTCTCTCAAGTTTGATGAATGGGCCTGTGAGCCTCTTTACTCAGAGCCAATTTTTAGTCTACATTAAAGACTCATTAGCTCCTGGTTCTATTAGGTCAGCATAACAGATATCTGCAGAGCACAAAACAAATATGATTCTTAAAAATTTGGTGTTTCCATGAAAAGAATCCCATAATAGAGGATTCGATGAGCCACATGAACAGAGGTTCTGAGATTCTCATAATATTTAAAGAGCTCAGCCTCTTCTGTGATTGTACTGGACTCTTGGAAGGGGATGAGTGGGAACATAATTTAAAGAGTTTTCACTGCAGGCAGTAATTTACAGTAAACTAGAGAGTATTCACTCTTAAGAGGCTGGCTAGATATATGAGAAAAACACAAGCAAGCATAGGTAGAGATCATGTAAATTAGGGAAATTAAACAAAAATTTTCCAGATGTATAGGTAACTAATCACATATGTAAGCATCTTCACCTTCAGCAGCAGCAGCAGCTTAAAATAAAAAAAAAAAATTTTTTTTGGTATTTCAGGCTGGGCGTGGTCGCTCATGCCTATAATCCCAGCATTTTGAGAGGCCAAGGTGAGAGGACAGCTTAGGCCCACGAGTTCAAGACCAGACTGGACAACATGGCAAGACTCCGTCTCTACAAAAAAATTTAAAAATTAGCCAGGTGTGATGATATGCACCTGTGATCCCAGATACTCAGGAGGCTGAGGTGAGAAGGTTGCTTGAGCCCAGGAAGTCAATGCTGCAGTGAGCCGTGATCATGCCACTGCACTCCAGCCTGGGTGACAGAGAATGATCTTGTCTCAAAAAAATAAATAAATAAAATAAAAAATAAAAAAAATTGGTGTGTCCAGTAACTGGAATAAACAGCACTTATCATTAATGTTAACCTACTTATTCACTGGAATTAATATAGAGATGGCTCATGAAAAGAAACTCTTTTTTTTTTTTTTTTTTTTGAGACATGGTCTTGCTCTGTAGCCCAGGTTGGAATGCAGAGGTGCAATCACAGATCACTGCAGCCTCAACCTCCTGGGCTCAAGCAATCCTTCTGCCTTAGCCTCCCCAGGAGCTGCAACTATAGGCATGGACCATGAAGTCCAGCTAATTTTTTTATTTTTATAGAGATGGGGTCTTGCTATTTTGCCCAGGCTGGTCTGGAATTCTTGAGCTCAAGGGATTCTCCTGCTTTGACCTCAGAAAGTGCTGGGATTACAAGCGTGAGCCACAGCACCAGGCCCATATGAAATTTTTTGAAAAATATTTTGGATAATAGATTATGTTATTTGAAAATGGCTGTATCT
The DNA here is from genome assembly GCF_000001405.40 of Homo sapiens. Taxonomy (NCBI): domain Eukaryota; kingdom Metazoa; phylum Chordata; class Mammalia; order Primates; family Hominidae; genus Homo; species Homo sapiens. Next base: position 3,988,823 of record NC_000020.11, read on the forward strand.
TTTTTAATCCTTCAAGAAAACCAACCTGATTGTAAAGAAGAAATTAAAATGATTATTTGCAGGTGACGGTAAAATAAAAAAGAATCTTATTAAAAGAACAAAAAGAATACTTACTAATAAATACATGCAATCTGTATTAAGAAAATATAAAAGACACAAAAGAAGATGTGAATGACTAAAATACCCTCTTCTTGGTTGTAAAGACGCTAAATATTATAAAGATGTCAATTTTCCTTAAATCTATCAATTTAATGCAGATACAATTCAAAAAAACTGACAGGGTTTGTCTTTTCTGAGAGGACAAGAGTGGTAAAAAGGCTAATTCTAGTTTAAAAGTAAAAATGAAAATGAAAGCACAGCCAGAAATACTCTAAAAAAGAAAAACCTGGCCGGGCACGGTGGCTCACGCCTGTAATCCCAGCACTTTAGGAGGCCGAGGCAGGCGGATCACGAGGTCAGGAGATCAAGACCATCCTGGCTAACATGGTGAAACCCTGTCTCTACTAAAAATACAAAAAATTAGCCAGGCGTGGTGGCGGGCGCCTGTAGTCCCAGGTACTCGGGAGGCTGAGGCAGGAGAATGGCGTGAACCCTGGAGGCGGAGCTTGCAGTGAGCCAAGATTGCACCACTGCACTCCAGCCTGGGTGACAGAGCAAGACTCCATCTCAAAAAAAAAAAATAAAAAAAGAAAAACCTGTGCTGCTGACACTTGAATTGACAGATGAACAGGACAGAATAGAAATACGACAGTTGTTGTTTACCAAATATTTTCAGCTTTCCATCTTCCTTCTGCACACATGTATGACTGTATTTTCCTGCTGTTTTGTTGTGGGTAGAGTCATGTGACTAAAACTTGTCAGCGAGCTGTGAAGGGAACTGATGTATATCTCTTTCAGGCTGAACATTTTACTGATGGTGTGAGAGTCTCCAGGCCCCTCTTTCCCTTAGTCAGGAAAGCTGGTAATGTTCAAGATGGTGGCAACTCCATTAGTTTCTGAGTGAGAAGACACGGAGTAGAGCTCTCAGCCAACTCTTGATGAACATGTACCAAAAGGAAGGAAAATTCTTGTTATAAGCCATTAAGATTTTGAGGTTGTTTGTTACCACAACATAACCTAGCCTACGCTGGCAGATACAAGAAAGTTAAAGAATAGCCCAAATTAATATAGGAATCATAAAGCTGACATTTCCCATTAGAGAGAAAGAGAGAGAGATGGATTATTCACAAATGATATTGGGACAATTAGGTAGCCAGTTGAGAAAAAAAATTAAGATAGCCTTATTCTTTGTATTAAAATATATCTGAGCTGTACCTAAGGTTTAAATATAAAAAATGAAATTATGAAAATATTAAAATATATCAAAGAATTTTAAAAATAATCTCAAAATGGGGAAGGCCTTTCTAAGTAAAACTCAGAAACACCCCCAAAAAAAATCCACAGAAACTTTCTGCTTGGGGGAAAAAAGTACTCTCACACATTATCAGTGGAATTGTGAGTAGAATTATTGGCTTCCACAAGAGCAACTCAGCAAAATTATACATGCACTTACCTATTGACCCAGCAATTCCACATTTAGGAATTTATCTTTCAGATGTACTTGCATGCATACTCAAAGACACATTTGTACCAGGCTCTTCACACAAACTTGTTTATAAAAGCAAAAGGTTGGAAGCAACCTAAATATGTAATTGGTTAAGTCATAGAATATCATCACAATCTAATGTTTTACAGTTGTTAAAGAATGATACCAGGTCAGTCATGGTGGCTCACACCTGTAATCCCAGCACTTTGGGAGGCCAAGGTGGGAGGACTGCTTAAGGCCAGGAGTTAGAGACCAGCCTGGGCCAACACAGTTAAAAAAATAATATATATATACACACACACATATATATATTTTTTAATTAGCTGGGCATGGTGGCACATGCTTTTAGTCCTAGCTACTCAGGAGGCTGAGGTTAGAGGATCATCTGTGACCCAAGGTTCGAGACTACAGCAAGCTATGATCACATCACTGCATCCCAGCCAAGATGACAGAGCAAGATCCTGTCTCTAAAAATTAAAAAAAAAAATGTAGATTTGGCACAGTTCCATGATAACATTGCTAAGTAAAAAACAAAACAAAACAAAAAAACAACACACAGGACAGTGCATGTGGCATATCACCTCTGATATAAAAAGAAAAGAGAAGCTAGCTTTGTATTTGTCTAAAAAGGTCTCTAGAAAAATATATAAAAAACTGGTATCAGTGATTGAGCCTCTGACAGGGCTGGAAGGAGAATGACTTCACTGAATACCTGTTTATAATATCTTTAGTATTTTGCTGCTAGGATATGTTAATGTTACCTATTAAAGAGAATAAAAAATTTAATTGTAAATGGAATTGGAAGAAGCTATTTTTATTTTTATTTATTTTTTAAACAACTTTTTTTTTTTTTTTTTTTTTTGAGATGGAGTCTCGCTCTGCCGCCCAGGCTGGAATGCAGTGGTGCCATCTTGGCTTACTGCAACCTCCGCCTACCTGGTTCAAGTGATTCTCCTGCCTCAGCTTCCCAAGCAGCTTGGGACTACAGGCATGTGCCACCATGCCCAGCTAATTTTTTGTATTTTTAGTAGAGATAGGATTTCACCGTGTTAGCCAGGATGGTCTCGATCTCCTAACCTCATGATCCGCCTGCCTAAGTCTCCCAAAGTACAGGGATTACAGGCGTGAGCCACTGCTCCATGCCTTAAGAAGCTATTTTTAAAGAAAATTGTCCCAGTTGTTTGTAAAGATTCACAGAAATTTAAAAACCTTGATTCTTATTTAAAAGACTTAGTTGAAAATCCTGGCTTTTTCTGGATAAATGTAGTGAGGAAAAATTATCACAAGGATAATTAGATACTTCACAAATATCCTATAGCTATCTGTCTTAAATCAGCATTTGCTTAGATAAGGTAATCATTTAATGATCATTTTAATTATACATTTATAATTATATATAAATTGTTTCTTCTCAGTTGTCTAATATCTCTCGAATGACAGTAAAATAACATGAATAATGCACATTATTGTCTTAATCTAATGAGATTGCCGTTTCATGAATAGAATATGTGTGGCTATATACACACACACACGCACACACACACACACACACACGGAATTTCCATCTATACTTGCTAATACACTACTTTTTACTGAGTTGGAAAATGTACTCCTTGAGCGCAGAATTACATTGATTGTAATCCTCTAATACTACATTGATTACATCCAGTGTAGCAATACAATACTCCTTGAGGATAACAGAGATCTTACTCATTACTTTACCCACTCAATAACAGTTGGCTTTTTAAAGTATTTCTCTTTATTCAAAGGTAAGCACTACTGATGAGCAGCTCTGACTTCACTAGGAAATCTTCCATGTCTTTGATCTCTTTTGGTTTTGGCATTAGACTGACATTTTTGGAGAAAACTCTGATTGAGCTATGTGAGGCTACTTTAGTAAAGCAGTTATATCAACATACAGGAAGAATAATAATTACAATCTGGTTGAAACCACACTGCAGCACTTTACCAGGCAGAATCAGAGCATGAAGCCACATGAAATACGGACTTAGAATAAACTTTAGATGTAAGTTTGTAACACAGATTACAAACTTGGATGTAAAACAAGAAATATAAAATTTCATCACAGGTACCTGGTAGCACTTCAGTATTTTGTCTTTTTTTTTTTTGCTGTTGTTCATTTGTACACTTCAGTATTTTGAATAAGCTCCTTGTTTTCAATTAGTTATAGAATAATTTACTTCTGCAAACAAACTACAAGGTTGTAAGTCTCGTACAATTGGTAGACTGGACATTGTATCTCTCTAGGGTCTCCCTTGAAAATAGCTCCATGGATTCCATTAATGACTTTGGCTTTAAATTTCATGGAAACTGACAGATTTGGGATTTTCATATTTGAAATTCTCTTCCTAGTGTCATAATTTCCAAAGCAAAAAGGCTAGACATTGGCTTAAATAAGTCAAAATAATATGCAAGTAAATCTTTGTATTAAATAGACTACAGTGTTCAGCTTACTACTTTGTTTCTTTGTCATATTGGTTTAGGTTCAAATGGATTGTTAATAATAAAAATGTTATAAGCACAATTTTAAATATATCATCTATGGATTTTGATTACATCCAATGTAGCAATACAATTAATCTAGGAAAAATTACCTAAAAAGAGTTAGCCTGATGTATAATCCCTGAAACTGGAGAACCTTTTTTTTCCAAGTGATTAATTTGGATATTAATCAAAATGAACATTTTACATTGTGCTTTAGAGTTTGTGACTAGGTTGTATACATATTATTTAATCCTTATAATCACTATGGGATAGATATTATGCTCCCCAGTATTCAGATGAAAAACTGAGACTCAGAAAAGTCAGGCTAGCTGCCCAAACTGAAACCACTAGTGAGTGGTAGAAGAAACTGAAAACTCACATCTTTTTTTTTTTGAGGCAGAGTCTCACTCTACTACCCAGGCTGGAGTACAGTGGCCCGATCTCAGCTCACTGCAACCTCCACCTCCCACATTCAAGTGATTTTCCTGCCTCAGCCTCCCGAGTAGCTGGATTACAGGAGCCCGTCACCACACCCAGCTAAGTTTTGTATTTTTAGTAGAGACAGGGTTTCACCATGTTGGCCAGGCTGGTCTCAAACTCCTGACCTCAAGTGATCTGCCCACTTCAGCCTCCCAAAGTGCTGGGATTACAGGCGTGAGCCACCACTCCTGGCCACATATCTGAAATCAAACCTCTTACTCTTCCCATGAGAACCTGCTGCCTTCCATGGACCTTGATAAGCCTGGACTGCACTGGTAGGGTTAGAATGGATACACAAGTAAAAACAATTTCCGTGGTTGGTTCCTGTGGGCAGTTAGTATGCTGATGCATCTTGGATCATCTTCACTGCCTTAGAGGGCCTCCAGAAAGGCCCACACCATAATTTCTAAATAACTGGCAACAAGGTATATATTTTTAAACTTTTTATTTTGAAATAATTTTCGATTTATAGAAAAGTTGCAAGAGTTCCCAAATACCCTTCGCCTAACTTCCCCAAATGTTAAAATCTTACCTAAGGATAGCAGAAAGACAGGAAATCAACAGATATAATCCTATTAACTAAAATACAGACTTTATGCAATTTTCACCAGCTTTCCCACTAATATTCTTTTTCTGTTCTAGGATCCCACATTGCATTAATTGTATCTCTTTAGTCTCCTCCAATCTGTGACAAAGAACTGTGTCTTTTAAATTAAAATTAATCAATGTTCATTTTATTCTGAAAATGTCATGGCACTTCTCGAAACAGTATTGAATATTACAAACCTCCTTTGGGAATTGCTAGGTCTATGAGATAATCAAGAAAACATCCTGAAATAAAGAGCCAGAGTGGCCCTAAAGATAGAAAAAAGAAAATCACTCTTTAAATAAAGGTAGGAATTGGCTGTGACAATCTGAATGTATCAGTTGTATTTGTGACACCTGTCCATCAACAGTCAGTTATAACTCCCCGGAAAAGCACAGGGTTAAAACACCTACCTCTGGAGTATAACAGATAGAAATCAATACAACTCTGTTTAATGGAGCAGTCATTAAAGAGTTATTTCATTTGTTTTAAATTAAAGGAGTTGAGTTTGTTCATTCTACAGACAGGGTAAATTAATAACTAAATTCAAGTATACAAAGGTGATTAGAAGGCACTAAATTTTCTCTACATAGTGATCTCCTTTTCTAATTGGTAGCATAAAGTTGCTGAACTGTCAGTGATCCTAATTCAAAACCAAACCCCTGGGAAAGGTGACGAGTCTTTGGACCCTGTTGAAGCTACTCTGGGAGAAGTGTCAACAGGGTTCTCTATAAACCTCGACAGCTCACTTCTTATTCTTGAGGATTCTAGATTGAACACATTAATTCCAGGACTTTAATGGTGAATTCTTAGTTACCCAAAAAGGTATTAGAATTCCTACAGGAGTTTAGAATCCCTGAAGACAAAAGACTAGAATGCATAAACTGCACGTACTAAAAGTGAAATAAAGAAGTTTAGTAAACCACAAGCACTTCTAGAGTGGTAAAACAGCAACAAGCTAACAAATGAAAAATGGAAGATTCTTTCATTGTACAGCCTTAAAAGTGAGAGAAAACAATGTCACTGATAGTTTAGCAATTCATAGCCAGGAACTGAGAGCAAATTAGAGAAAGCTGCATGGCACTAAGTGGGTTCCATGAAAGATGGCATAGCAGAGGCAGTAACCTTACAGAGTTGAGTTTAGCCACGCCCCACCACGGGGACTTGTAGGCAAGTCTCAATGTCCCATCTATAATATAGGGAGAGTTACCCACATCCACCTCTGGGGTGTGCCTGGCATATAGTGAGTGCTCATCATTCCCATCAGGTCTCTTTTTGTTCTCTGGTGTGAGGCTGGCATTGGGGTTAGGAATCATTTGGGCCTGAGCCACATCTCCCTGGGCCACTCTGGGTTAGATCTACATCTTTGAGCCTGAACCACAAGTGGACTCCTTTCTGAAGTGACAGGGGCAGGGTACAGAATACTGAGAAACAGACATTAGTTTAGCCACATTTCTTCAACAACAATTTCCAGATAGCCAACCTGTATAAATTAAAACCCTATCTGTTTTTAGATCTAAATTTTGTAGAAGGAAAATTCTACAGCCACAAAACAGCATCTAAGATGTTCATGACTAATTCAGCATTCTTCAAATGGTTATGAATCAGCAAAGTGTGCAGGCTGCCTGGTAGTTTGACACTGGTGATAATTACCTTGCATTTCTAAAAATTACAGTCCTAAGCACTGCCTGGAAGTCTCCCCTTTGTTTACTAGGATCACCTCGTTCTTTTAAGAAAGATATGTGAAGACTTCATCTTTAAAATGATTTTAGGCAGCCAATGGAACAACTGAGACGATGGGGCAGATCAAATGTTATTTCAATATTTGGGGGGTGAATTTGGTTCTGCTTTTTTTTTTCAAAAATGCTGAAAAATCACAATCATTTCAGAACAGTGAATAATCCTCTAAATGAGTCTTAAAGAATCAAGACTTGCAATTTCATTAGCCCTGAAAGCTCTCTTTCCTTTATAAAAATGTTTTACAAGACTACTACTAATCTTCATCACACAAAGCGCTATTATTCTGGTTTTATAGATGGATATATTGAAGACTATACAAGTTTGTAATTTTTCTCTTCCTTCAAGATCAGGAATGAATGATGAGTGCCTCAGGTCATATGAAGCTGTACAAGATATATGCTCCCAGTAAGGTCACAGTACGTCAAGAGTTGGGTCTATTCTCTACTTCATCATTTTCCCCAGGGGCTCACAGACTCACTGGAAAAATTTACACTTAACCAAACTCACAAGAGGTTGGCTCATAAACCATAATATCAACTCCAAAATTCAAACCAGAAAATATATTTAGCAGGTTTCTTTTGGAAGATTCTCTGCACTAACACAATTACAGAAAAGAGAATGACATATTCTTTTTAAAATATATATATTTTGTAGAGATCGGATCTTGTATATTAGTATATTCTCCGAATGGACATTTCCATTTAGAGAATCAGTATCGGCTACGAGAAACAGAAGCCTCCTTCTCTAGAGGAAGCTAGAGAATGGTAGCTGCTCTTTGGTTTTCCTTTTGTTTATCATTAATGAGTCTGTATCAGAGACTGATGGTTTTCTGTCCTACCCCACCCTCAATATCTGTTCTCCCTTTCTTCCACTTAATTAGAATTTTTGGTTGGGCATGTGACTACACTTCCTAGCCTTCCTTGCAGCTGTGCACGGCCATATGTCTCAGTTCTGGCCAATGTAACTGATGCACATGAAGTTGTCTGGGAATCATGCTTAACAGAATACTGACAGGTGCCTTCTATCTTCTGCTTCATCCCTTTCTCCATCCTGTACCTGCAATAGGTGCTACCATTTTCCTCAATAAAAATGAGGTTTACACCCAAGAGGAGGGCAGAGTGGTAAGAGAGAACTAGGAGTAAGTGGTAAAATGTCCCTGATGCCATGAAGCTCCATTCCAGATCTGTACCAACTTTTACATGAATAAGAAATACATTTTAGGCTGGGCGTGGTGGCTCACGCCTGTAATCCCAGCACTTTGAGAGGCCGAGGCAGGCGGATCACGAGGTCAGGGGATCGAGACCATCCTGGCTAACACGGTGAAACCCCATTCTCTACTAAAAAAAAAAATACAAAAATTAGCCAGGCGTGGTGGTGGGTGCCTGTAGTCCCAGCTACTCGGGAGGCTGAGGCAGGAGAGTTGCTTGAACCCAGGTGGCAGAGGTTGCAGTGAGCCGAGATCGCGCCACTGCACTCCAGCCTGGGCAACCGACAGAGCAAGACTCCATCTCAAAAAAAAAAAAAAAAAAAAAAGAAATACATTTTAATCTTATTTTAAGCCACTTGTTTCAGGTTTTCTGTCACTCACAGCTGAAACCTTCCAATATACTGATGTTCTAGGTAGGTCAGTACTATTTTAAATTATTTTGTATTCACAGACCATTTAGAATAACAGATCATGGATTCTAATTCTAGGTCAGAAAAATACAGGATTTTTTTTTTTTTTGAGGCAGGGTCTTGTTCTGTTGCCCAGGTTGGAGTGCAATGGTGTGATCATGGCTCACTGTCGCCTCAAACTCCCATGCCCAGACAATCCTCCCTCTTCAGCCTCCAGAGTAGCTCGAACCACAGACATGTGCTACCACGCCCAGCTAATTATTTTTTTTTTCCACAGATGGGGTTTCCCTATGTTTCCCAGGCTGCTCTCAAACCCCTGGGCTCAAGTGATCTTCCTGCTTTGGCATCCCAAAGTGTTGGGGCTACGGATGTAAGCCACTGCACCTGGACAGAAAAATATGGCTTTTGCTAAGACTATAGATACTTATGACACTACATTAGGCAACTAATTAGAATACAGGAAATCTAACATTACAATGTAATCTTTTTGATATGATGTAAGAAATAATGGGGACCATCGGCAATACATTTGCCAATTATTTTCACAGAACTACATTCAGCACTAATTAAGTATCGCAGTCCAAATGCCCCACTTTTCAGAGGAAGAGATTGAGGCACACAGACGCTGGGTTTTCAAAGCTAAAAGGCTGGCTTTTATTTTTCAAACTACATCCAAAAATTTGAGGGGGAATATGCTCTAAGGGTTGCACTTCTAAGTATCCTGTCCCCAACAGCTCATTTATACTAATATGCAATAATTGGTTATCCTGAAATAAAATACTTAGCATTCAGCCCATCAAGCTCACATAAGAATAAAAAATGTGGCCAGGCGTGGTGGCTCAGGCTTGTAATCCCAGCACTTTGGGAGGCCAAGGCGGGCGGATCACAAGGTCAGGAGTTCGAGAGCAACCTGACCAACAAGGTGAAACCCCGTCTCTACTAAAAATACAAAAATTAGGCTGGGCGTTGTGGCTCACGCCTGTAATCCCAGCACTTTGGGAGGCCAAGGTGGGTGGATCACCTGAGGTCACGAGTTTGAGACCAGCCTGACCAGTATGGTGAAACCCCGTCTCTACTAAAAATACAAAAATTAGCCAGGCATGGTGGGACATGCCCGTAGTCCCAGCTACTTGGGAGGCTGAGGCTGGAGAATCACTTGAACCCGAGAGGTGGAGGTTGCAGTGAGCCGAGATTGCAACACTGCACGCCAGCCTGGGCAACAGAGCGAGACTCTATCTCAAAAAAAAAAAAAAAAAAAAAAAAAAAAAAAATTAGCCGGGCGTGGTGGCGTGTGCCTGTAATCCCAGCTACTCAGGAGTCTAAGGCAGGAGAATTGCTTGAACCCAGGAGGCGGTGGTTGCAGTGAGCCAAGATCACGCCATTGTACTCTAGCCTGGGTGACAGAGCGAGATTCCGTCTCAAAAAATAAAATTAAATTAAAAAAAATAAATAATGTAACACGTGACTGGGTGTGGTGGCTCACACCTGTAATCCCAGGACTTTGGGGGTCAAGGCGGGTGGATCATCTGAGGTCAGGAGGTCAAGACCAGCATGGTCATCATGGCAAAACCCCATCTCTACTAAAAATACAAAAATTAGCCGGGCGTGGTGGTGTGCACCTGTAACCCCAGCTACTCAGGAGGCTGAGGCAGAAGAACCGTTTGAACCCGCAAGGTGGGGGTTGCAGTGAGCCAAGATCAGGCCACTGCACTCAGGCCTGGGTGACAGAGCAAGACTCTGTCTCAAAAAACAAAACAAAACAAAAAACAAAAATGTAGCATGTAACCATAGATATCATATAAGAATGTCTGAGTTATGCAGGATAGTCAGCTGGAAAATTAGTTACAAGAGAACAGCAAATAAAAGTGAGAGTGTTGCAACAGTTTTAGTTACAACAGTCCTATAGAGTTGCACATTATTATCCTTTGTACTGAAAGATTCACTAACAACCATGACATTATTCATATATACAAATGCAGCTAAAAGGAATGATGGGACATGAATCTTTTCCACATTCTACACTAGAACACCATTCTTAGGTCTATAGCTACAGTAACCGTTTATAGGGCTTTTCTCGTCATTTGTGACTGAAGACTCATGAAACACTAGTCAATTTTCTTTGTTTAAAAAAAGTCACGGCCGGGTGCAGTGGCTCACGCCTGTAATTCCAGCACATTGGGAGGCCGAGGCGGGCGGATCAGCTGAGGTCAGGAGTTTGAGACCAGCATGGCCAACATGGAGAAACCCCATCTCTACCAAAAATACAAAATTAGCTGGGCGTGGTGGCGCATGCCTGTAATCCCAGCTACTCAGGAGGCTGAGGCAGGAGAATCACTTGAACCCAGGAGGCGGAGGTTGCAGTGAGCCGAGATCATGCCATTGTACTCCTGCATGGGCAACGAGAGGCGAAACTCTGTCTCAAAACAAAACAAAACAAACAAACAAACAAAAAAAGTCACTTCATCTTTTCTTCCTTCAGGATAAGTCAGTATATCTCTAAGAGCCTTAAGATAAAAAAGAACATGGATGAACCTTGAAAACATCATATTAAGTGAAAAAAGCCAGTCATAAAGGATACATTTTTAAAATCCTATTTATATAAGAGGCCCAGAATAAGCAAATCTATAGAAATAGAAAGTAGATTGGTAGTTGCTTAGAGCAAGGGAAGGGGGAGGAGCGGGGAGAATGAGGGGACTGAGGAGCGAAGGCCATTCTTTTTGGAATAATGATAACTAAAATGTTCTAAAATTGATTGTGGTGATAGACAGAAAACTCTAATATTCTAAAAGCCACTGAATTGTACACTTTGAGCAAACTATATGGGATATAAATTATGTCTCAATAAAGCTGTTAAAAAAAGGCAAAAGAGAATTGCCTAAAACAATCATCAAAAACGGTATTTTAATGGCCAGATGTGGTGGCTCAAGCCTGTGATCCCAGCACTTTGGGAGGCCGAGGTGGGTGGGTCACCTGAGGTCAGGAGTTTGAAACCAGCCTGGCCAACATGGTGAAACCCTGTCTCTACTAAAGATACAAAAAATTAGCCAGGTGTGGTGGCGCATGCCTGTAATCCCAGCTACTTGGGAGGCTGAGGCAGGAAAATTGCTTGAACCTGGGAGGTGGAGGCTGCAGTGAGCTGAGATGAAGCCATTGCACTCCAGCCTGGGCAACAAGAGTGAAACTCTGTCTCAAAAAAAAAAATTATATTAATGCATATATAATCTCCTTAAAAGTTAAGAACTATGTAGTACAGTTAGGCAGTTACAATTTTTACATCATCTGACATCCACCGAAATGGAACTTCTGACCAGCCACAGTTCAGCAGCCAGGCTAAGCTGGCTGCATAACTGAACTCATATTTATAAAAAGAGGGGAACTGAGATGTAGCAAAAATTGTTTGTTGTTATTCCTTGCTTAATAACAATAATCATTAGGAGAGCTAAGGAGATAAACTACACTCACAATAACTGGAATATTCAATGATAATTATCCCCATTTTGAGGCTAAATAGTGATTCACCAAGGCCAAATAGGTAACAAATAATAGGGTCAAAACTTACTTGAATCCCACACGCTTTTCTGTATATCACCCTGCTTCTTTTTTACCTTTATGGAAATTTACTTGGAACTTACTATGCAAAAATATATGTGGCCAGGCGCAGTGGCTCATGCCTGTAATCCTAGCACTTTGGGAGGCCGAGGCAGGCAGGTTACCTGAGCTCAGGAGTTCGAGACCAGCCTGGGCAACACAGTGAAACCCTGTCTCTACTAAAATACAAAAAATTAGCCGGGCGTGGTGGCGTGCACCTGTAGTCCCAGCTACTTGGGAGTCTGAGGCAGGATAATTGCTTGAACCCGGGAGGCAGAGGTTGCAGCGAGCTGAGATCATGCCACTGCACTCCAGCCCAGGTGACAGAGTGAGACTCCATCTCAAAAACAAACAAACAAACAAAAAACCTCATGAAGAGCCAGTTTTTTTCAAATTACAGGAACTTTTAAGTCAGATCATATGTAAAATGCCTGAAAAAATATTAAAATGATATCAGATCTAATAAACTCAGAAGTGAACTAAAACAATAAAATGTAGTGGGGTTATTCATCAAGTGCTTCTTACCACAAATGTAGCTTTCTGTAAATTCAGGCTGAATATGAGGCACATAAAATAGTTATTGATATGAATAAAGGTAAGATTGTAAATCCAAAACACATATTGGATGAAATAATTGAAATATTACTTAAAAGACAAAAATCACCCTTATTTCTGGTAGAGGAAAGAAAGCAGAATGTGTAAGATTTGTGGTCACCAAAGAACAAAGTTTCAGGCCAGCATGGTGAATCACGCCCGTAGCCCAGCACTTTGGCAGGCCAAGGTGGAAGGATCGCTTGAACCTAGGAGTTCAAGACCAGCCTAGGCAAGAGAGTAAGACCTCATCTCTATAAAACTTAAAAAAAATTAATAAATAAACAGCTGGGCATGGTGACATGTGCCTGTAGTCCCAGCTACTCAGAAGGCTGAGGTGGAGAGATTGCTTGAGCCTGGAAGTTGAGGCTGTGGTAAGCTAAGATTGCACCACTGCACTCTAGCCTGGGCGACAGTGAGACCCTGCCTCTTAAAAAAACAAACAAAAAAAAACAGGGCCGGGCGCGGTGGCTGACACCCATAATCCCACCACTTTGGGAGGCCGAGGCAGGCAGATCAGGAGGTCAGGAGATCGAGACTAGCCTGGGCCACATCATGAAACCCCATCTCTACCAAAAATACAAAAATTAGCCGGGCGTGGTGGCTCATGCCTGTAATCCCAGCACTTTGGGAGGCCGAGGTGGGTGGATCACGAGGTCAGGAGATCGAGACCATCTTGGCTAACACAGTGAAACCCCGTCTCTACTAAAAATATAAAAAAATTAGCCCGGCGTGGTGGTGGGCGCCTGTAGTCCCAGCTACTCTGGAGGCTGAGGCAGGAGAATGGCGTGAACCCAGGAGGCGGAGCTTGCAGTGAGCCAAGATGGTGCCACTGCACTCCAGCCTGGGCAACAGAGCAAGACTCCGTCTCAAAAACAAACAAAAAACAAAAAAACAAAACAAAACAAAACCTCAGCAAAGAAAGGTAAAAGATAAAGGATAAATGAAACAAATGTGGCAAAACCTTGTTAATTGTTGAATCCCACTGATAGGCACAGGGCCATAATAAAAAAATTTAAAAGAAGAACCTCACTAGCAGAAAAGTCTGAAAAAATAGTGTAGGTAAGTCTATTAAGTAATATTAATCTCAGGTAGAAAACAAAAGGATCAATGAAAAAAGTCATGGCAGTTGATTATTTAGAAACAGAATAAATTATATGGAAAATATCATTTTTTCCTCAGATATGACCAGACAGCTATATAATATAGTTTCCTGAAGTAGGTTATTTCACTGGAAATCAACAGTAGATAAAATACAGTTTTTATATAATACATTTTTAAAAAAAACTTTAGGAATGCAGCTGTCCATTTACTCCCCTTAGAACTGTGTCACGCTTTTATATAATTCTGGTGTTCTAAATGGATGGTGGTAGTGAATTGAAATAGAGAAAATGAAGACACAGAAAACAGAAGTCACAGCTGCATTCTGAACTGAATGCTTTGAATTTTTCTTTTTCTTTTCTTTTTTCTTTTCTGAGACAGTCTCACTCTGTCACCCAAGCTGGGGTGCAGTGGCGCGATCTCAGAACACTGCAACCTCTGCCGCCCGGGTTCAAGTGATTCTCCTGCCTCAGCCTTCTGAGTAGCTGGGATTATAGGCGCCTGCCACGGCGCCCGGCTAATTTTTTTGTATTTTTGTAGAGACAGGGTTTCACCATCTGGGACAGGCTGGTCTTGAACTCCTGATCTCGTGATCTACCCACCTCGGCCTACCAAAGTGCTGGGATTACAGGCGTGAACCACCACGCCCGGCCCAGAATTTTTCTTTTTGTGTAATCATTTTCTAAGAATCCAGGGCCTCCTTCACATCCCTTCTGAAATAGTATTTTAACTTTTAATATGCAACATTTACAATATATTCCACACACAGCGCTGACTAAGTTTCTTTGGAGGTCAATTTTCAAATTATCTTCCAAGCAATTCAAAGTAAACAGAACAGAAAATCAATAGTTTTCCAGAAACATCTTCAAAGCATAAAACATTTCATTTCTAATAGAGCAGTAGTTCTTAACTTTTTCTTAGGGTTATGGAACCCTCTGAAAATCTATTTTGAAAGAAAATCTACATATTTCTTTCAAAGGGTTTTATCATTGTTTTGAAGGCCCATGTTAGAAACTCCTTTTTTTTTTTTTTTTTTTTTTTTTTTGAGACAGAGTCTCACTCTATTGCCCAGGATGGAGTGCAATGGCGTGATCTCGGCTCACTGCAACCTCTGCCTCCTGAGTTCAAGAGATTCTCCTGACTCAGCCTCCCAAGTAGCTGGGATTACAGGCATGTGCCACCACACCTGGCTAATTTTTGTAATTTTTAGTAGAGTCAGGGTTTCGCCATGTTGGACAGGCTGGTCTCAAACTCCTGACCTCAAGTGATCTACCCCACCTCGGCCTTCCAAAGTGTTGGGATTACAGGCGTGAGCCACCACGCCTGGCCAGAAACTCTTATAATATAGCATTCTTATGGATAAGCAACTCTAAACCAAGTACAAATTCATCAGCTCAACACTAAAGGCCTCCCATGAATTGGCCCGGACTTTTCATCCTCATTCTCCACTATTTCTCTAAATACCAGACTTTAGTCAAATGCATTAGTTATCGTTCCTGAAGATGACTCCCTATCTTTTTTCTTGATACTTCCACTATCTGCACATCCCAGGCTATCCCCAACTATCTCATAAAATTCTGTCCATCCTTCATAATGTACCTCAAGCAATACAACTTCCATGAAACCTGCCTTGACCCCATAAACCTTCCCCTGAACTTCAATCTTCTGTCTTTCTATCTTCCAATATTTTTCCACACTTTGTATCATGGTCTGCTGAATACTTGTCTAATCTCGGATTCTGTGTGAGACAGTAGTCAAAGTAAAAATTATTACCAAGGAAAAATCTTACTCTCTTGAGTGGATTGAATGGTGGCCCTCAAAAAGATATGTCCATTTCTTAACACAAGGAATCGGTGAATGTGACTTTATTTGAACCGACTTTATTTAAGAAAAAAAAAAGGGTCTTTGCAGATATAATTTAAGGATCTGGAGATGAGAGCATTTTGGATTATCTGAATGGATTCTAGATCCAATGGCAAGTGTCTTTATAAGAGAGAAAGAGAAGACCATATGAAGACAGAAGCAGAGACTAGAATGTGTGGAATCACCAAAACCTGGAGGAGGCAAGGAAGGATTCCCCTCTAGAGTCTTTGGAGGGAGCACAGCAACCCTGCTGACACCTTGATTTTGGACTTCTACCTCCAGAACTGTGAAAGAACAACTTTCTGTTGTTTAAAGCCACGAAGTTTATAGTAATTGTGTTACAGCAATGTTAAGAAACTAATAAACCCCCTTTGCTCCATCTGATTCTGACAAGTCATTTTTATTTACTGCAGTAGCTCTGCAGGAGCATCAGAAGAGATTTAAAAAATATAGATTCTGCCCCCTACCCCAAATCTCTTCTTATTCTCCTGCTATTATCTGCAAAGATCTCTGCACTTCCATTATCAATAGCCCTCCAGAGGTGCCAGTACAGGATAACATCTGAATAGTAAAGAGACTGTATTCTTGTGAAAAGTTGATAACATCCACTGTGACAGGTGGTGGGCTCTAGAGGATGAAGGCCTAGGTTCAAAACTGGACCCTGAACTTGTAAACCTGAACAGGTTACTTCTTTGACATTTAGTTTGTCATCCATAAACAACTCTTTGAGGATTGCTGTAAGCAGTAAATAGGCAATATATTTAAAGCTACTGGCATAAAAGCTTTTTAGTGTAGGTTAACCAATATGAAAGATGATTTTCTGAGTATAATATTGCCCCTGGCTATTGATATACTGTTCTGTGATTTAAGAAAAAAAAAATCTTACTACGCCGAAAATTCCATCTGCCCTGTTTACAGAGATAATCGACAAGTTTGAGTAAAAGCCTTTATTTAATTATAGCCATGCATGAGATTTCCAACACATTTCTGAAGAAGTTTTGCAACTTGTTTCATGCTGAAGAAAATGAATGAAAGCCTACACCTTTGATTTCCCTTCCCACCCATTTCCCACAAACTACATTAACTCATAATTTGACGTTTCATTATCTGTCAACTTTTTTCATTCAGTCCAAGATAAAGAGACTATTTAGATATAATATTTAGGTTCTATTTCAAATTTATATCACTGAGCATAATTTCACATGCTCAGATTTGGGAAGGAACAATAAAGAGATACAGGTAGCTATAAT